>NC_000014.9:75672319-75823834 GCF_000001405.40 Homo sapiens
CACTGCAACCTCCTCCTCCTGAGTTCAAGCAATTCTCTGCCTCAGCCTCCCGAGTAGCTGGGATTATAGGCGTCCACCACCATGCCCGGCTAATTTTTGTATTTTTAGTAAAGATGGGGTTTCACCATGTTGGCAGGCTGGTTTTGAACTCCTGACCTCATGATCCACCCGCCTCGGCCTCCCAAAGTGCTGGGATTATAGGCATGAGCCACCACGCCCGGCCTAATTGCTAGTATTTTGTTGAACATTTTTTGTCTGTATTTATAAGGGATATTGATTTATAGTTTTCTTCTGATGCCTTTGTCTGGCTTTGGTATCAGGGTAATGCTGGCCTCATAGAATGGGTTCCCTTCAACCTCTGCTTGCTGTAGGTCTATTCATATTTTCTATTTCTTCTTGAGTCAGTTTTGGTAGTTTATGTGTTTCTAGGTATTTGTCCATTTTATTTAGCTTATCTAACTTGTTTGCATACAACTGTTCATAGTATTCTTTTACAATCCTTTTCATTTCTGTAAGGTCTGTAATAATGTCCCCACTTTCACTTCTGATTTTAGTTATTTCAGTCTTTTCTCTTTTTTCCTTAGTTTAGCTAGAGGTTTGTCAATTTCGTTGATCATTTTTATTTTATTCTTTTTGAGTGACAAAGTCTCACTCTGTCACCCATGCTGGAGTGCAGTGGTGTAATCCTAGCTCACTGCAGCCTCAGACTTCTGGGCTCAAGTGATCCTCCTGCCCCAGCCTCCTGAGTAGCTTGGTCTGTGGGTGTACACCACCATGGCTAGCTAATTAAAAAAAAAAAAGCTTTTTGTAGAGATGGGGGGGTCTCACTATGTTTCCCAGGCTGGTCTTGAACTCCTGGCCTCAAGCAGTCCTCCCAGCTCAGTCTCCTAAAGTGTTGGGATTATAGGAATGAGAATTTGCACCTGGCTTTGTTGATAATTTTAAAGACCCAATTTTAAAATTCCAACTTTTGCTTTCTCTTGTTTTCTGCATTGTTTGTATTTTATCAATTTCACTTATCTCTGCTCCTCTTGGATTTTAAGCAGTGCTCTGAGCCCTGGTGTTAGTCTGTAGCCATCTTCAAAGGTTATAACACTGTGGATCAGGACTGTCTTGTGGTATGGTGGAAAGAGTGTACACTTGGGTTCTCAGCCATTGGTTCAAATCCCAGCTTTGGTATTTCTTAGCTGTGAGTCTTGGGCAAGTGACTTAGACTCTTTTAACCGGTTTCATTATTAGTAAAATCTTAACCAGTTTCATTATTAGTAAAATCATTAGTAAAATGGAGAGAATATGATATTGTGAGGATTACATGAGCTCATTTAATGTCCGACACATAGTAGGCGCTCAAAACTTGTGCTGCTTATTTTACTGATTGAATAAGATCTACTCTACTTGTAAATGACTTTTGTCTTGTCCCTTAATAAGTCAGGAGTTCAGAGGACTGTTAGCATTGCTTCTGGGATTTGAATCCTCCTTCCTCCCCAAGGATCCTTGTGTTCTAGTCACCTCAGCAAGTTGCCAAGTTACCATTTAAAGGGAAGTGGTTCATTCATGTTCTCTGAAGCCTGAGTAACTGAAGACCCCTTGCTGAGAAACTCCCTCTAAATATGATTTGAGCCAAAATGTTAAAGGTGGATAAAAACAAATATTCCCCCCAAACATACTTCTTTTGGTCTGCTTGTCACATAAAGTAATCGATGTATTCTATGGCAATAGGCGGACCCTTCTTTTTTAGAATACCTAACATTTATTGGAAAATAATATCCATCAATGTCATCTATTTAAGCAATTACTATTTTTTTAGGATCCATAAGTCTTTTTCTTTACACATTCCTGTGATTAAAGAAAAAGCCACCAAACTTTTCTCAAATTCTGTGTTTTTGAGTTTTCTGTATCTTTCCCAGTTCCTTGTGGCTTAATAATTTTCTTCACCTTCCTTAATGAAAAGAACAATTTGAATGACTTTTGGTAGTTGCTGCCTCAGTTTTCTGTATTGTTAAATACTCTCAATCTGCAACTTTTCTTTTTGGCTCTCTTAAATAGCTGACACAGATCTGTTCAGATCATAAGCCTGTGGTTAAATCCCCCTGAGAAGTGTATCTGGGGCAATAGTTACCTTCTGTTGATCTCATCGTGTTAGATGCCAAATTGGTTTTTTCTCTTTATGACATGTTTCATTGAATTCACTATTAATATTTTTGGTACAATATGATTTCTCGTGTTTTATTTGTGAAATATTCCAGGAATGTGGCTTTTCTTCATTATAACCTTGTTTTTTTCCCAAATTGTATGTACTTTAAATGTGTAAATGGGATTGTATTTTAGAGACAACATAGGTATTTTCAGCTTAAAGTAAACTTCTAGAATGAAGCATTTTTCTGTAATTTGTCCCTGAATGTGTTTATTTAGTAAGTTTGTATTTGTATATACTAGCAATAGATGTATGATGCAAGCTATATATGTGATTTGAAATTTTCTAGTAGGAAATTATTTTTAAAAGTAAAAGGAAACAGGTAGGTGAAATTAATTTTAATAATATATTTTATTTAACCCAATATATTCCAGAATATTATCATTTCCACATTTACTCAATATAAAAAAACCATTAATATTTTATATCTAGTATATATTTTAACATAACAGAGCATCTCAATTTGCAAAATTTTCATTGGAAATATTCGGTCTATATTTAGATTTTATAACTTTTATAGTTTAAAAAGTAAATTCATATACTCAATTGTTTCTTCCCCTCCCCACAGGCAAATTGTTTAAAATAGGATTTCCAGTAACTGAATCAAGTATTCATTCTTAAATTTAAATTAACTAAAGTTAAATAAGGACATTTCAAGTGCTTATTAGTCACACACATTCGACAGCACAAATATCCTAATCCTAATTCTAGGTAACCTAATTTTCTGATACTAGGGCACAGCTACACTATGTTGCCATTAAAGGAGTTATTTTTGTGTTCTACAAGTCAAAAATGTCAGCTTTATCTTTATCCTATTTCCCATGCTATTTTTGTTTAAACCCTTTAAGGCGTTTCATTGCTCTCTAGGTACTTCTCTGTGTTGACAGTTAGATTATTGGTTTGTTTTCATTTGCTCTGCTGTGGTCTGTCCTGGAACTTGCTAGGGGTCCTAGCACTTCAAGTTGCCTCTAGGGGCACATGTGAGTGGTTGGAGAAGAGGAAATTCTGTGGTCTCTTCTATGGTGGAATTGATGTGATGCATGTTAAGAGGCTTAGAAATAGGATATTTGGCAGTTTGCTAGTAGTCAAGGAGGACCATGCTCTGCCTCATGTTTTTATACAGAAGAAAACATGGGATGAGGTGGTTCTTTCTTAGGCAGTTGGGCAGCTTCAGTTTACAGTTGCAATCTTCCATTTGACTCTTGTCATGGGAGAGAAAGCCTAGGCATATTAGTCAGAGTTCTTGTTACGGGAGAGAAAGCCCAGGTACATATTAGTCAGGGTGTTCCAGAGAAATAGAACCAATAGGATACAAGGAGACAGGGAGGGGGAAGGGAGGAATGAATGTTGTTATAAGGTTATTGGTTTATGTAATTATGTAAGCTAAAAAGTCCCATTATCTACCATTTGCAAGTTGGAGACCCTGGGAAGTTGGTGGTCCAGTTTGAAAGCCTGTGAGCCAGAGAGCCAGTGGTATAGATTCCACTCTGAGTCTGAATTCCTGAGAACCAGGAGTGTCGAGGGCAGAGAAGGTCTGTGTCCCATCTCAACCAGTCAGGCAGAGAGAGAGCAAAACCAATCACCCTTTTGTTCTATTCTTGCCCTCAATGGATTAAATGATTCCCACCCACATTTGGGAGGGTAATCTGCTTTATTCATTCCCTATATTTAAATGCTCATCTCTTCTGGAGACATCCTCACAGACACCTATAAATGACATTTAACCAGGTATCTGGGCATCCTGTGGCCCAGTCAAGTTGACACATAAAAATAACCATCATTACCAGGTTTCTTAAGAGAAGCCTAGAAATCTATATTTTTATATGAATTTTTCCAATTTTCAATGGCTTAGCAACTAATTTAGTTTTATTTTGAAGCATCGTGAGTGACAGACCACATCTGCAGGCTAGGTCTGGTTCTTGGGTCACTAATTTGTAACCTCTAGTCTAAAATATACTACCCACCAGCCTTATTGCACACAGAGGGCTACCGGACACAGAGTATATATGAACTAAAAATCTCCAGCAGTGATGTTTGCATTCTGTCATTCCACCCTTCTTTTTTTGCACTACTCTTTTGGAACATGTTCAGTGTATCTGAGTTGGGTTATAGTTAGGTGATATGGATTAGAAGTGGCTTGTCACTGCTTACTATTTATGTATTGTAAGAATCAGATTTGCCACTGAGTGTGGTGGCAGTTGTATTTTTCTTTTATATTAGGAGGAGTAGGAGAAATAATATTGATAGCATTTTACTTTTTTTTTTTTTTTTTTCTGAAACAGGGTCTTGCTCTGTCACCCACGCTGAAGTGCAGTGGCATGATTACAACTCACTACTACAGCCTTGACCTCCTGGGCTCAAGCAACTCTCTTGCCTCAGCCTCCTGAGTAGCTTGGACTAGAGACATGTACCACCATGTCTGGCTAATTTTTAAATTTTTGTAGAGACAGGGTCTCCTATGTTGCTCAGGCTGGACTCAAATTTCTGGCCTCAAGCAGCCCTCCCATCTCGGCCTTCCAAAGTGCTGGGATTACAGGCATGAGCCACCACACCTGGCCCATTTTAATTTTTTAATTTGCTATATAAAATGTATAATTATGTACAGTGCATATACTAATGACTTTTATTATTTTTTTACTATATAAAAATAATTTATACTGTGTAGAATAATTGTTTCATAGCTTTACATGTATTAACTGATTTAGTGCTTACAGCTACTCTATGCAGTAACTACTGTTATTATCAACTCCATTTTACAGGTGAGGAAATTGATCATAGAGAAATTAAACAATTTATTGAAGGCTACAGGGAGGAAGTGGTAGAATCAGGGTTTGAACCCTAGTTTGATTCTAGAGATTCTCTTTCTCTCTCTCTCTCTTTTTTTTTTTTTTTTTTTTTTTGAGACAGGGTCTCACCCTGTCACTCAGGCTGGAGTGCAGTGGCCTGATCATGACTCACTGCAGCCTTAGCCTTTCAAGGCTCAGGTGATCCTCCTGCCTCAGCCTCCCAGGTAGCTGGGACTACAGGCGCACAGCACCATGCCTGGCTAAATTTTGTATTTTTAGTAGAGATGGGGTTTCACCATGTTTCCCAGGCTGGTTTCTCTCTCTCTCTTTTTTTAAGAGACAGGGTCTTGCTCTGCCACCTGGGCTGGAGTGCAATGGTGTGATCATAGCTCACTGTAACTTTGAACTCTTGGGCTCAAGCAGTCCTCTTACCTCAGCCTCCTGAGTAGCTAAGACTACAGGCGCCCACCCGTACACTTGGCTAATTAAAAAAAAAAATTTTTTTTTTTTTTGTTAGTGACGAGGTCTCGCTATGTTGCCCTGGCCGATCTTGAACTGCTGGTCTCAAGCAGCCCTCCAGCTCCAGCCTCCCATCGTACTGGGATTACAGGCATGAGCCACCATGCCCAGACTTGTTATTATTCCCCCTTGTCTCTTATTCCCCATGTAACTGTTCTCTATTTTCTCACACACCTTACTGATCACCTCCCCTGTGGCTGGGCAGTGAGGGGCAAGCACTGCAGAACATGCACAGAATTGGGTTCAGTCCTTATTTCTAGCAGTCACTGTGTAGCTGATGATGCTTTGACTTTTCATGTGCAAAAATGTTAGTGATCATGGTTATCATAATGAAAGGACCAGATATTTTTTCATTTTTGTACACATTTTATTTAGAAAAATTAAAAACCTTCAGACAAGTTACAAAAATAGTACAATGAACGCATATAGTCTTTCCCTGGAATCACCCATTACTTACATTTTGCCATATTTGCTTCTCTCTTTCTGAACCATTTGAGAATTAGTAAAATATTGCATGCCCTAATACATTATTCAGCTTGTGACTCCTGAGAATAAGGGCATATTCTATATAAGCACAATAATGTGTCACTGGCAAAATACTGTTATCTAATCCATAGATCTAATCTATGCAGATTTCCCCATTGTTCCAATTTAGTCTTCTATAGTGGTTTTTTGTTTTTCTATTCAGGATCCAATCAAATATTACATTTTGTTGTCATATTTCCTTAGTCTACTGTACAGCCATTTCCTAGACTTTTTTTTTGTCTTCCATGACATTGACATTTTTAAATATTCTAGACTGCTTGTTTTACAGATATCCTTAAATTTGATTGTTATCCATGTTTGATGGTTCCTACATGTTTAGATTCAGATTTTTAAAAATCTGCAGGAATATTGCTTAGTGAAACTGTATCCCCAGTGTATAACATTTGGGAGTATGTGATGCTATTATTTTGCAGTATTGGTGATGGCACATTTGATCATTTGGTTAAGACTGTGTTCACCAGATGGCTTCATTTTAAAGGTGCCTTTTCCCTTTGTTATAAGCATTCTCTGGTAAGATATTTTGAGATGTATGCGTGTCCTATTCCCTAATAGCCTCTCCCCATTGGTATCTACTGATTCTTGTTTGAATCACTTACTCTTATAGTTTTTGTAAAATGGTGATTTTTCATTTCTGTCTTTCCTTCTACATTTATTAGCTGGATTCTCTGTAAATAATAGCTTTCTCTTGTGTGGTAGGCAGAATAATGGTCCCTTAAAGATGTCTACCTTCTAATTTCCAGAATCTGTGAATATGTTATCTTACATGGCATAGGATGAATTAAGGTTTAGATGGAATTAAAGTTGCTAATCAACTGGCCTTAAGATAAGGAGATTATCCTGGACTATCCAAGTGGGCCCAATGTAATCACAAGAGTTTTTTAAAGTGGGAGAAGGAGGTAGAAGAGGCCAGAGTGTTGTGATGTGAAAAAGACTACATGCAACCATGGTTGACTTCAAAGATAGAGGAAGGGGACCATAAGCCATAAGCCAAGGAATGGAAAAGGGAAGGAAACAAATCCTACCCAGAGCCCACAGAAAGGAACACAGCTCTGCCAATTCCTTGGTTTTAGCCTGGTGAGACCTGTGTTCGACTTCTGATGTACAGAGCTGTAAGACAATAAATTTGCCTTACAACAACAAATGTGTTGTAATTTGTCACAGCAGCAAAAGAAAACCAATATTCCCTCTCGACTCCTTGTAAGTGTGGATACATGGATTCTTTTATAAGTACATTATAATCTATCTCTATCACTATTCATTTTTGCATTCAAATTGTCTTAAACTTGGCCCTCAAGAGCCCTTTTAAGCTCTTAGTGACATGTCCCTAATCAGTTTTTGAGTATTTCCCTTTTTTGACATTGCAAGATATTCTAAGCCTATTTTGTGATTCCCACACATGATTCTGCAGTGTTTCTTATGATGATACTGCAAAGACAAAGTAATAGTGACTGATCACTGGGATAACACTGTTACTTGGCTTTGAAAGTTTGCCCACAAGAATGAAAAGGACGAAGTGATTGACATTTTAAATGTTAATCCTCCTGTGTCTGCTTTGCATGGTGTTCCTGCCAGTGCTGAGTAAGTAGCAGCAGAGATTTATGAATATCTTCACATAAACTTGAAAGAGAAATTGTTGTCTTTGACTACAGAGGCTGAATATTGTTCTAGAGTCTGTCCATGAGTGTCTGTATCATTCAGAATTGTTCAATTCAGAAACTGTTCAATATGAAGTCCTCTAAAAAAATTCTTCAGCAGAATTCTTAGCTAACTTTTTCAGTTAGTAGTGGTGCATAGAAAGAGATTGAATTCAGTGGTCCAGAGTAAATACATTGAAATCTCACATGGTTTCAGACTTTCCGCTCCCATAGTGGTCACAAGCACAAACGCTTACTTGGCCCTGGCAGGAAATGTGATTGAGTGAGGCAGGCTGGATCCTGAGCTGAACTGAAGAGTGTGGCCTGTCCTGAATGGGGCAGGTGCAGTTCTCCAGCTGATTCTTGCCATTGGAGAGAAGAAAGCCCAGGTTTCCAGGTTTTTTTAAGAGACGTCTAGAAATCTAGAGTTGTATACGAATTCTTTCCATTTCAGAAGCTAAGCAATGAATTCAATTTCATTTTTAGAGCACCATGAGAAACAAACCAACCATGTCTGCAGGCTGGATTTCATCCTTGGGCTACCAGTTTCTAACCTCTGGTCTAAGATGTACTGGTAATCAGCATTATAGGATACAGAGGGCTATCTAGAGCAGGGATTTTTTTTTTTTTTTTTTTTTTTTGAGATGAAGTCTTGCTCTTGTCCCCCAGGCTGGAGTGCAGTGGCATGATCTCGGCGCTCACTGCAACATCCACCTCCCGGGTTCAAGTGATTCTCCTGCCTCAGCCTCCCGAGTAGGTGGGATTACAGGTGCGTACCACCACACCCAGCTAATTTTTTGTATTTTTAAGTAGAGATGGGGTTTCACAATGTTGGCCAGGCTGGTCTCGAATTCCTGACCTCAGGTGATCCGCCCACCTTGGCCTCCCAAAGTGCTGGAGTTACAGGCGTGAGCCACCATGCCCAGCCTAGAGCAGGGGTTTTTAACCTTTTTGGTACAATAGATCCCTTTGGCAGTCTGGAGAAGCCCATGGGCCTCTTCGCAGAAGAGTGTTTTAAAATAGATTTTTAAAAAGTACGTAATTACAAAGGAAATACATTGTATTGAAATATAGTAATCAGAATATTTTTTAAGAAATTGTGACATGTGCTTTTTTATTAGTGTATTAAATAACAATCTAGTGAAGGTCTATTAACTACTATAATCTTTAAATACTATGAGAATAATTGATATTTTGAGATATACTGTAAAATAATATTAAAAATATCTGATGTCTGTTAGTGGCAGGGTCACAGATAATGTTAATACTGCCTGTTTTGTTACTTAAAATCTTAATTGAAGCCATTGTTAAATTTCAACTAGAAACTAGTGAAAACCAAGGTGTAATTTTTCCCCCATCTATGTCTAATGACCTCCAAAGAGTCTCATTTTAAGAACTCATGGTCCAAAATACGTTCAACTTATTTATAATCATTTTAATGGTAGCATGTAATGTTATTGAGTATAATTAAGCCACCATGTTACAGTTTATTTTTGTTTTTACAGTTAACTTTCTAGTTACTGAACTTGATTCTGTTTTTCTTTAGAACGTTATCATTTGTCTTATAAGATTGTACGAACGGACAGTCGCCTAGTACGCAGCATTCTGACAGCCCATGGATTTCATGAAGTAAGTTTATTTTTAATACCTCACCTGATCTGCTCATAAGCTGAAAATCCCAGCCACCTAACTGACTTTACCAGTTAACAGGGCCAGCTCCAGGAAGTACATGGGACCAATGCTTAGTGGTGGTCCAGAACTCAGATTGAATTTTGGAGTGGCTTTACCAGTTTCTGCTTGCAATACATGGAAAACGTTTCCAGATGATTTTAGAAAAAAATTTTTTCTTGCTACGTTCTTGGGCTTGGGCTAGGGGCACCGTTGCCCATAAGGAATTGTCTGACACCCAATTAAGGTTCTTTGATTGCAGGCAACTGAACAGACTTTGCTTAACTTGAAATGGCAGGTGGATCCCAAGGTCAGGAGATCGAGACCATCCTGGCCAACATGGTGAAACCCCGTCTCTACTAAAAATACAAAAATTGGCTGGGTGTGGTGGTGTGCAACTGTAGTCCCAGCTACTCAGGAGCCCGAGGCAGGAGAATCGCTTGAACTTGGGAGGTGGAGGTTGTAGTGAGCCGAGATCACACCACTGCACTCCAGCCTGGGTGACAGAGTGAGACTCCGTCTCAAAAAAAAAAAAAAAAACAAACCCAAAAGGGATTTGTCAGAATGATGTGCAGAGGGGACTAGCAGAATCAGAGAAAAAGCTGAAAAGGCAGGCCTTTGGAAGGAGAGAGACCAGGACAAGCCCCAAGGATATAGGAACAGGAGTCTTCAGCACAGCCAGGGAAGGTCCCCGAGTGAAGGTCAGATGGGGAGAGGCCTGCATGGCTGGCACCGAGGAGGAACAGGAGTGTTCAGGATCATTTTCTCAAGGCACTGCCATGGGCGTGACTGGACTCCATTCATTGTCCTTTTGTCTTTCCTTGCTCAAAAATCACATTCTGGAGATAGAATGATTGGCCTAGCTTGGGTTTGGATCCACTCCTTGCAGGAGGGGATGGGTGGGTGATTGACAGGTTCTTGAAAACCATGGAGTAAGTCATTCTCCAAAGAAAGTTGGAAGATTGGAATGTAAACATCAAAAAGGACAGGCAAAAAGGCTGAACAGACACTTCCACTATAGACACTTTGTGACAGTTGATAAAAGTCTGGTTCCTAGCTTGAGATTTGTAAGAGACATTTTGAGGAAGTTTTTTTTTTTTTTTAATTTTTTATTTTTAGAGATGGAGTCTCACTGAGTTACCCAGGCAGGAGAACAGTGGCATGATCATAGTTCACTGTAGGCTTGAACTCCTGGGCTCAAGTGATTCTCCTGCCTCAGCCTCCCAAGTAGTTGGTACTACAGGTGCATGGCACCACTCCTGGCTAATTAAAAAAAAAATTTTTTTTATAGAGACAGGGTCTTAATATGTTGCTAGGATAGTCTCAAACTCCTGAGCTCAAGCGCTCCTCCCGCCTCGGCCTCCCAAAGTGCTGAGATTACAGGCATGAGCCACCGCACTTGTCCGTGAGGGAAGTTCTGATACCAGTTTGTATCCTGTCTTGTTGCTGTTTTATTTCTGGCACTTAACATGGCGCCTTATTGTTGAATTAATGGACAAAAGAATTTTAATGGATGAATGGGTGAATTCTAAGTCGGTTTGCTACTATAAGGTTTATCTCTGATCAGCACTTCATACTCAGTTTCTGCAAGGATAAGGAAAGCCTGAGAAAGAAATGCAAGAATATTAAGAGACATCATGGGTTTCTATAGAAGGGTTAATTTATTTTAGTTTCTGCATCGGGGATTTGCCCAACCCTCCCATTCCTTGAACTTGTTCTGTGATACACTGCTTTTGTCTCACTAGGCTCACGTACTAATTGGGCCACCCCGGTGAGTACACTGTGGATGAAAAAATCACTGTGGCTTTTTCTGCCATTGCTTTTCCTGGAGAAGGGGTATCTCTGATGTTTTTTTGCCTTCTTGTCTTTCTGTCTGCCCTCAGGTTCACCCAAGCAGCACTGACTATAACCTAATGTGGACAGGATCCCACCTGAAGCCCTTCTTACTGCGCACCCTCTCTGAAGCACAAAAAGTTAATCACTTTCCCAGGTAATGCTCTTTGTAGCTGCTTTGCTTCATTTAAAGGTACATGACATTGGGGCATGTAGCCAGCAAAGGTAATTAGTGTCCTTAAAGAAGAGGAAGATGAAAATGAAGAAGAAGAAGGACTTTTTTTTTTTTTTTTGAGATGAGTATCGCTCTGTCACCCAGGCTGGAGTGCAGTGGCATGATCTTGGCTCACTGCAACCTCTGCCTCCTGAGTTCAAGCAATTCTCCTGCCTCAGCCTACCCAGTAGCTGGGAATACAAGCTTGCACCACCATGCCCGGCTAATTTTTGTATCTTTGGGAGAGACGAGGTTTCGCCATGTAGGCCAGGCTGGTCTCAAACTCCTGACCTCAATTGATCTGCCTGCCTTGGCCTCCCAAAGTGCTGGGATTACAGACATGAGCCACCACGCCCGGCCAGAAGAAGAAATTTTTCTGGTACGGAACAGCACTCTGCAAATCAAACTGTTGTGTTCATATCCCTGAGCATGAATGAACACTTTCTAAGGGCTATATAGACATGGATGGTTTTAAAGGAGATAGTTTCTGGTTCTCTTTCCTAAAGTTGAGCTGCTTGGGAGTACCTCATGAGGATGGGTTTGCCTTTCTTACTTCCCCTTCACAGTTACTGTTTTTTCACTTTTATTAAAGAATGGCTCACCTAGAATCTTAGTCTGGTATATTGTCCTTAGGTGTAGAAATTTTCAGGGTTCCAAAGAAAGGTAGAAAAAAATTAGTGTCTAATTTAATTCTAGTAATAGCATAACAAATCCTTTTTGCATGATGGTAGTTTCTATTTCTTTGTTTTTAAAATAATTGAAGGATGATATAATCTAGCTATTAGCTGATCATTAAACATAATTTTGATGACAGATCATTTTATAATTTTTTGATGTGTAATTAGGAAGGAGTTCACAGAGTTGAGCGTCATTGGTGTTTGGATGAATTGTATACTACAATACTTGCAATGATAATCAGTCATGTATATATAAACAGTTATAGCCTTACGGTCACAGGGAATTAAAAATATATGCCAATTCCTATGTATAATTTTGCTGTACAGAAGGTATGATATGATGTAAAAGACAAGTATTAAATACGTTAGGCTAACCTGTTGTTTGTGGGAAATGAAAGAATTAAAAACAAGAGTGACTGGGGGATAGTGTCTGTGTGGCAGTCTGAGGGAGGCTTTTCTGGCATGCTGGGAATGTTCTATACAGAACTTGAGTGGTGGCTACACAGTTGTGTTCACTTTGTAAAAATTCATTATGCCCTGCCGTGTTCTTTGTATACTTTTCTGTACATACGTTAACTTCATTAAAAAGCATATTTTAAAAAGTGAAAATTTTACTGACAGAGCTTTTCCTTTAATAACATTTTAAAAATGAGGTATTGAATCTTGATGTTGTTTAGGTTCCCTTCAATATACTTAAAAGTGTGGTGTTGGCTAGGTGCAGCGGCTCATGTCTGTGATCCCAGCACTTTGGGAGGCCAAGGCAGACAGATCGCTTGAGCCCCAGGAGTTGGAGACCACCCTGGGCAACATGGCAAAACCCCGGCTCTAAAAAAAACAAAAAATTTAGCTGGGCATGGTGGCATGTGCCTAGCAACTTGCGATGCTGAGGTGGGAGGATCACCTGAGTTTGGGGTGGTCAGGGCTTCAGTGAGCTATGATTGTGCCACTGCACTCCAGCCTGGGTAACACAGAGAGACTCTGTCTCAAAAAAAAAAAAAAAAAAAGGGTGGTGTTATGATTTTGTCTTAATGTAATATTTACCATTCATCATATTCTTTGGAACAATTTAAATTTATGATGAAAAATCTTACATGCTAGCTTAAACATGCAAGAGGATATATAGTTTCCCCAAATTATTCTAGGATGTACCAAGCAAAGAAGTTTGAAAACCACTGATGTGGGGCATCTGTAGGAGAGTGCATTCTTTTTCTTAGCCTCTGGTTCAGTGTTTGTAATTCCCTAATGATAAGAATTACCTAGGGTACTTTTGCAAAATATGCATTCTCAGGTCCCATTGCAGATTCATGGAAGTTACCATCTCTAGAGAAGGTGTATATTTGAGCACTTTCCTAGTTACCTTACCTTTCCAGGTAAATATGTACCTAGAAAGCTATATATTTAAAAAGCATTGAGGTAATTTGTAACAGGGAAGTTTGGAAATTACTGTTGTAGATTACATCAGCAGTTAGTGTGGGTCCTGGACCATCTGTATCAGAATCTTCTGGGGTACTTGTTTAAAATGCAGAATCCTGGGCTTCATCCCAGAATTTTGAGAGGTGAGACCCAGGAACATGCATTTTTTAGGAAGTTCTCTAGGTGATTCTTACATACACTAAAAATTGAGTACCTCTGCTCTGGATTTCAGAAGAGGGCCGTAGATAAGAAAGAAATGTTTGTGGTACCTAGATTTGCCAAAGCAGTTTCTGAACTCATAGAAAGAAATTTGAACTGTGGAACAGGTTGAGTAAGTTTTTAATGATTACCACAAAGGTTCTTAGTTGGTTTTGAAGGAGTGGAACAAATCATAGATCAATGAGTCCAGTCGAGGCTAACCAAGGTGCCTTTTTGGAGTACTGTACACAAGAATGTACCCCTGATATAATAGTAATTATTACCCTGGTTTTAAGGTGCTAATTGCCCCGATTTTCTTTATAACTTTGCCTCTTCTATATCCATCTCTCAATGATGTAGTTAAGTTCTCAACGGGGTTCCTAACCTGGGTCTTTACTGTAATAGGATCATTATACTCTAAAATTAAGGCCTGTCTTGGGTCCCATCTGGAAGGGTCATTTCAGGCCCGTGGTGCTAGTGATGATAAGAGTTCCACATAGTTACATGAGAGGTTGGGCAGTTATTGCTATGGCAATACATTTATAAACGTGGATTAGATAACCATGTGTTTGATTTTCCTGGACAGTCCTTTTTAAAAATATGCTAAATGCTTTTCCCCCTAAAACCAAATTAAGATAACATCTCAGAAATTCTGATGTTTTAGTAGCTAATCTTTCTCAATTTACATTCTACTTAGAATTAACTCAGAATTTTTTTTTTGCCATGCTATGTTTCTCAGAAGGTCACATCTGTAGATACCTGTGGTATAAAAACTTCCAGAATGCTTTGGTTTGGGAGCTTGCTTTTAGTTGGAGTACTGGTGTTTTTTTCACTATCTGAGTAATCCAGATGATTTTATGCTATTAGAGAATCATGATTCCATTAAAGTAAAACACACAGGGGTCCTAAAATATTTTATAATGATTTATAATAGTGAATAGCACAGACTCTGTTGAAGGTTTTGAAGCTAGAATTTCTTTCACAGGTTCGGTTTTTATAACCTGAAATTTTGGGTATATTTATCAACAGTCAAACTTTTTTGTTGTTGTTTACTTATATTTGAAATCTGTTTTAGAATAGATTTTTATACCTGTGAATCAATTTTTAAAAACCCATTTGAAATAAGGGTCATAGACCTAAAAATAAAACATAAACTGTAAAACTTATAGAAGAAAACATAGACAAGATCTTTGCAACCTTGTGTTAGACAAAGGATTCCTAGATGCAACAATAGAAGCACAGTCATAAAAGGAAAAAATTGATAAATTTGACCTTTTTGGTTTTTTTGTGGGGGGACAGTTTCGCTCTGTCACCCAGTCTGGAGTACAGTGGTGTGATCTTGGTTCACTGCAACCTCTGCCTCCTGGGTTCAAGCGATTCTCCTGCCTCAGCCTCCCGAGTAGCTGGGACTACAGGCATGCACTACGGCTGGCTGATTTTTTTTGTAGTTTTAGTAGAGACGGGGTTTCATCGTGTTGGTCAGGCTGGTCTCGAACTCCTGACCTCAAATGATCCACCTGCCTCAGCCTCCCAAAGTGCTGGGATTACAGGCGTGAGCCACCATGCCTCACCTAAATTTGACCTTTTAAAAATTAAAAATATCTGCTCTTTGAAAGACACTGTTAAGAAAATGAAAAAACAAGCTATGGACTGGAGAAAATATTTGCAAAACACATAACTGATAAAGAATTTGTGTCCAGAATATATAACAAACTCTTAAAACTCAACCATAAGGAAACAAACAACTTTATTTTTCAAAGTGGGTAAAATATCTGAATGGATGCCTCACCAAAGAAGATACAGGGATGGCAAATAAAAGAGGCTCGTGAAAAGATGCTCAATAGCATTAGTAATTAATGGAATACAAATTAAAACTATACAAAGTATCAGTATACCCGTTAGAATGGCTAAAAACAAAAGCCAGAAAACACCAAGTGTGGGCCAGGATGCATGGCAACTGGAACACTTTTGCTGGCGGGAATGCAGAGTGGTATAGCCACTCTGGATAACTGTGATCTTGTGAAATATGTAGTTAGTCTTCCTCGTGTTTCCTGACATATAACTCCTTGGCTCCTTGGAATCTCCAGAGTGAGAAGTGTCCTTTTATATACTAATGACTTAACTGGTGCCTGGCAGTCCCTAGGTAGCTTCCGGATGGGGATTGGTTACAAGAAAAGACCAAGGCATGATTAGAGGGTTATAACTTCCAGCCCACCCCTCAGCCTCCAGGAAGGGAAGAGGGGCTGAAAGTTAAATTAGTCACCAGTGTCCAATCAATTATGCCTGTGTAATGAAGCTTCCATAAAAACCCAAAAGGACTGGGTTTGGAGAGCTTCTGGGTAACAGAATACATGGAGATTCTTGGCCAGTAGTGTGCCTGGAGATCGCATAGAGGTTCTGTGCCTCCTTTCTCATACCTCGCCCTGTGCATGTCTTCCTCTATATCCTTTGTAATATCCTTTTTAATAAACCAGTAAACATAAATGTTTCTCTGAGTTCTGTGAGCTGCTCTAACAAATTAATTGATCCCAAGGAGGGAGTCGTAGGGATGCCTATTTATAGCCAGGTGGTTAGAAGCACAGGTAAAACAACTTGGGGCTTGCTATTGGCATTGGAAGTGGGAGGCAGTCTTGTGGGACTGAGCCTTCAACTTATGGGAACTGACACTATCTCGAGGTAGGTAGGGTCAAATTTGAGTTGAATTAGAGGACACCCACTGCAAGATTGCTTGCTTTGTGTGTGGGGAAACACACATTTGGTGTCTAAAGTGTTGAGTGATTATGTTGAATTGAGAGTAGAGAGTAGGAAAAACACTTTGGTTTTTCCTCAATATCTCAGAATATAGCAGGAGAAACGGAGCTTGTTTTCCTCAGAATAACCATTTGGCAGTTCATTATAAAGTTTAACATATGTGGTGATTGTAAAATGTGTCCATAAATTCTTTGACATTGTTTTCAAAAGGTTTAACTTAATTTTTCTGTTCTTGAGTGTTGACTGGATTTAGTGACTTGCCTCTAACTAGTGGAATATGACAGAAGTGATTATCGCTTCTGAGACTAGATTGTAAAAGACATTACAGCTTCTTGCTCACTTTCTTGGATCACTTGATCTGGGAGAAACCAGTTGTCACGTCATGAAGGCACTTGGCCTTATGAAAAAGTTCATGTGGGGAGGAACTGAGGCCTCCTGCCAGCAGGCAGCCCCATGTGAGTGATGAGCCATCTGGAAGTTGGGTTTTCCATCCTCTCTTGAGCCTGATGACTGCAGTGCTGGCCAGTATCTTGACTGTAACCTCATAAAGGACCTTGGGACAGAACCACCTAGCTCTCTCACTCCCACATTCCTGGCCCCAGAAACTATGAGGTCATAAATATATACTGTTATTTTAAGCTGCTGTGTTTTAGGGTAATTTGTTGTACAGCAATAAATAACTAAAACAACTTACTGAACAACCAAGCAGTCCCACTTCTAGAGAAATAAAAACTTACGTTTACAGTAAAACTTACAAAAACGTACATTCATATAAAAATCTATATGGAAATGCTTTATAGCAACTTTATTCATAATCTCCAAAAATTAAACAATCCAAATGCCTTCAACTGGTGAATGGATAACCATGGTACATCTATACAGTGGATTACTACTGAGCAAGAAAAGGGACAGAATACTGATACATGCAACAATGATACATTTCAAATGAGTTGTGCTCAGTGAAAGAAGCTAGTCTCAAAAGGATACACACTGTCTGATTCCACTTATTTGACTTTCTGGAAAAGGCAAAATTATAAGGACAGAAAACAAATGAATGTTTTCCCAGGGGCTGGAGGTGATTGGGAGGGTCCACTACAGGGGGACTTGAGGTAACTTTTTGGGATGTTGAAACTGTTGTTTATCTTGATTGTGGTGGTGGTTACATAATTGTATGTGTTTGTCCAAACTCATAGAATTACACATTAAAAAGGGCAAATTTTACTGTATGGAGATTTTATCTTAATGAAAAAATCTGACCAAAAAACCCATTTGATAAAAATGATTAATAAGCCTTTTGGATTAACAGCGATATGTTTAGGATACAATACTATCTTCACTAACCGGTCTAGGACTGTGAACTGTAACTCTTTAGAATGTGATAACACAGGAAAATTCTGAGTCATAGTTTACTGAATGGAAATACTTTTTTGATTTTTCAGGTCTTATGAACTTACCCGGAAGGACCGACTGTACAAAAACATTATTCGAATGCAGCATACACATGGATTCAAGGCTTTTCACATCCTCCCCCAGACCTTCCTCCTGCCAGCTGAGTACGCGGAATTTTGTAGTAAGTGCTTGACAGAGAATGCCCCAGTCCCCAGCAACTGAACCTGGGGAATATTTACCCCAAAAGCCTCCTCAAGGTGTCAACCAATCAGGGCTTTCCAAATCCTTAGACAACTGTGACTCTTTAGTAAAACAGTTGCAGAGGTAACTTTAAAAACTATTTTTATTCTGATATGTTCAGTAAACTTGTCAGTATCATTTATGTAAGGGCACACTGGCATCATATAAGCATGCCCCTGTCTTATGTATTTTTTGCTTGAATGTCCCTTCTCTCCATTGATGACTTAGTGCCTATGTAAGTATTATTTTTTTTTTTTTAAGAGACAGAGCCTCCCTCTGTAGCCCAGAACCACAGTGGCACGATCATGGCTCACTGCACCCTCTGCTTCATGGGCTCAAGTGATCCTTCCTCCTCAACCTCCCAAGTAGCTGGGAATACAGGCATGCACCATTAGGCTCAGCTAATTTTTTAATTTTTTGTAGAGATGGGATCTCGCTCTGTTGCCTGGGCTGGTCTTGAACACCTGGGCTCAAAGGATCCTCCACTCTTGGCTTCGCAAAATTCTGAGATGACAGGCATGATCCACCACACCCGGCCTGTAAGGATACTTTATATTCCTGCATGTGAATTATACATGCTTCCTTTTCGGTATCCCTTTTTCGCTTGCCATTTAAGAACATTCTTTCAGCCTTGATTTCTTGTCTTCTGTAATTTATGTTCTTTGAGGGTAGAGATATCGCATATCTTTGGATGTTAGGGTTTGGAGCTACAAGTTAGTCACATTCTCTCCCCTTTGAGTTCAGACTAATAAAAAAAAATACACGTAGGAGCCAAATAGGCACCTAAGTGTCAGCTGTATGGCTGGTAAAGTGACACAGAAACACATGGCCTGGATCCAGATCTAAAATGGGCTTCTTATTTATTTTGCATCATTGTGAACTTACCCACCCAGGCCAGGCAGAGGCGCTGGGCTGGTTTCAGGCTTTCCTCCACAGGGGCAGAGCCTGACTCAGTAGGCTTAATGCACAGAAGAGACATGAGTACAGATGAGATGTGAGGCAGGTCTCTTGTGAAAGTCCAAATTACGGTGGTAATAGCTAACATTTACTGAATGTTTACTTTCTAGTAGGCACCTCTACTCTGGTAGTATTTTAGATGAGGCGACTAAGGTACAGTTTGGTTAAGAAACTTTCCATGAGTTATGCAGCTTGCAAATGGTAGAGTTAGGGTTCAAACTGGCAGTTTGGCTTCAGAGGCCATGCTCTTCGTCTCTGTGCTTCATTGCTAATGGCACTGGGCAGCGTGCATGCAATGACCATTCCCCAGTAGCATCGGTGTGAGAGAAGTCACTTCTCCCATGAGGAACATCAGGTGAGACACACAGAGAGGACAGTTTTCCTCCCAAGAAGTCCAAGAAAGATACTATTTCTGTTTTATGGATAGACGAAGTAGCATGGGGAGAAGAGAGAGTTATCTCTAGACTTCCTGACTTTTGATTCTTTTAACATGTTAGGCTTGCCAGTCTCTCTGGGTCACCTAGTGGGTTGTTCATCTTTTGGCAGAGGAGACCAGCAGTTCATCAGGAATGCCTGCTTCACCATTTATCTAATAGCGTTTGTTGCTCTATCTGGGGCCATTGGTTGGCAATTCATTGTTTGCCCACAGATGGCTCTGCAGTGGGTCACATAGAGCACTAATTAAATGAATCAACTTCAGAACTTCAGTGCACTCAAAGCTGCAAATTTGTAGTCAAGAAATTTTTTGCTATGTGACTTTAGCCAAGTTACTCCAACTTCTGTGTGCCTTAATGTCCGCATCTATAAAATGGGAGTATTGCTGGTGCTGACCTTATAAAGTTGTCAAGATATTTAAGTAGGTTAGTATGTGGAAATCACTTGGGATAGTGCCTGATAGGGGTGGCTTGATAAATGTTTAATACTATTTCCTATTTCAGGCTATGTTTGTATTAGTAATAGTTATGTTTAACTACTCACTATATTAATACTACTATGTTTTTACTATGTTTTACTATTTTATTTTTGTATGTTTTGTTTAACTACTAACTAAAGTTGTAGTTATGTTATTAATAACTACTATTAATTAGTATTAGTTAAACAATACTAATTAATATTATTATGTTCTGGCCCTCCAGTGCTTAATTGAGTGTGGGCAATAGGAAATTTTTTTGGAAGGAAAGGGACACCATAAACAGACTGGCCTTTAGAAAAATAACTATGTGAAATGAGTCGGTGGAAGCAGAGAGAAGAAACTGGTGGTCTCTTTGAAGGTTACTGCAGTGAAGTGGATAAAATGGATAGGTATGAGTAGAAAGGGTGCAAGAACAAACATTACTGCCTGTGTATGGGGAGCGAGGCAGGGGTCAAAGAGGAATCCTAAGGTTTGAGTCTGAGTAGCTAGGAAGACCATTGGGTTTTTAACCAGGGAATGTAACCAGGAAGGCAAAGGAGGAGCTGTTAAAGGGGTAGAGGAATGTTACATTTTGGACAGGGTATGGATTTGGATGTCGATGGGGCATCCAGGTAGTGTGTTTTGCAGGTGGCAGTTGTAAGAGCAGGTTTGAGTTCTGGCCAGAGATGTAGATTCTGGAAGCTGCAGTATGGAGATGGGTGTGATTACTAAGGGAGAGAAAAAAAGCAGCAGCACCGCAGAGAATCAGAGAGGAAAGGGAGATTGAAGAGGAACAAGGGAATGAGGTCTCAGAGGAGGCAGGAGAGGGTTAAATCAAGAACCCCAGTAGAAGGGTGAGCATTTGAAAGAGAAGTGGGCATGTGTCTCCTGAAAGAGGAGAAGGAAGAAGGCTAAGTTGATGACCCAGATAACATTTTAGATGGAGAGGAAAGCAGGTAAATAGGTTTATGTTACAAATTCCTAGCCTTCTTAGTGAACAGGTTGATGAGGTCTTATGCCAGGAGTGAAGGGGCCTAGGGATGGGTGGGTGTCTAAAAAGGCAGAAAGGGATTGGAATAGCCTCTGCAGGGCCTTTGAAAGAGAACTGATAAGGATTGGACATGAGGATTGCCTAAAAACACTAGAGACACCAGCCAAGGTGATCTCATGAAGGTATAGCTTTTTGTTCTAATAAGAGACAACCTGTAAAGATATAGCCTAGAGACTAATCACTGTCTCCAGAGATGTGAAAGCCTAGGTACTCCCCAAACTGTTCTCAGTAATTTGAGTGTAGTGGTTGGAATACATGGCACACTGGTCTATCTAGGCTCCTGCCATCACTGCCAGTTACAGTATTTAGTAGAATAGAATTAGAGGTCTGTGACCCTGAAGACCGTGACTAAGGATCTGTTGCCAACTCCAGCCATTCCCCTCAAGGGGACAGCTTTCTAAGCAGAAGGAAGAAAGAAGCAACAAAGAAGAAGATGGGGTGGTACCAGTATCAGAAAAGCAAAACTTTCCCCAGAATTGGGCTCTATGGCCATCTCTAGTTGTAAGGGAGATTGAGAAGTGATTCTAACATGTGAATTTTCATGTCCGCCAACTAATTACAGATGACTAGATTTCAAAGCAATGGGTAAATTTGTAGAATTACGATTTTAGAATTATAAGAGATCTTAGTAAATCAGGCTAAATTTTACAAATCTCATTTTAAAGATAAGACTAGGTGATTTAAGCAAATTACCTCTAGAGTCATATACTTGAAAAGCCAGAATTACAACTCAGATCTTTCTACTCCAGGTTCATTGCTGTTTCTGTTAGACCAAGCCTGCTGCCACTGTAGGAACTGGAAAGCACTTGAAAGAACTGGGGAGCCTGTTTTAGTACATCTTCATCCTGAAGCAGAGAGTCCTGAGCAAGACTGCCCGGCCTTTGCCTCTGATTTTTCTTGCTTCCTACCCACACATTTAGAACCTGTAAAAGAGAACAATCCTTGTTCTGAAAATATCACAAATCAAGGAGAAAAGCCTAGCATGAAAGACAGTCTTTGATATTTAGAATTTCAAGAACATTCAGGATTTTAATCATAGTGAAGCACCAGAAGAAGCATTAACTTCTTTTTTTTTGAGACAGTCTTACTCTATCGCCCAGGCTGGAGTGCAATGGTGTGATCTCGGCTCACTGCAACCTCTGCCTCCTGGGTTCAAGCAATTCTTCTGCCTCAACCTCCTGAGTAGCTGGGATTACAGATGTGCACCATGCCTAGCTAATTTTTGTGTTTTTAGTAGAGATGGGGTTTCACCATGTTGGCCAGGCTAGTCTCGAACTCCTGACCTCAGGTGATCCGCCCACCTCGGCCTCCCAAATTGCTGGGATTACAGGCATAAGCCACTGCGCCCAGCCAGATGTTGTGGGAAGTCAGGGACCCTGAGCGGAGGGACTGGCTGAAGCCATGGCAGAGTAACATAAATTGTGAAGATTTCATGGATGTTTATTAGTTCCCCAAATTAATACTTTTATAATTTCTTACGCCTATCTTTACTGCAGTCTCTGAACATAAATTGTGAAGATTTTATGGACATTTATCACTTCCCTAATCAATACTCTTGTGATTTCCTATGTCTGTCTTTACTTTAATCTCTTAATCCCGTCATCTTCATAAGCTGAGGACGTATGTCGCCTCAGGACCCTGTGATAATTGCGTTAACTGCACAAATTGTTCGTAAAGCATGTGTTTAAACAATATGAAATCTGGGCACCTTGAAAAAAGAACAGGATAACAGTGATGTTCATGGAACAAGGGAGATAACCATTAGGTCTGACTGCCTGAGAGCTGGGTGGAACAGAGCCATATTTCTCTTCTTACAAAAGCGAATAGGAGAAATATTGCTGAATTCTTTTTCTCAGCAAGGAACAGCCCTGAGAAAGAGAATGCATTCCTAGGGGAAGGTCCCTAAAATGGCCACTCTAGGAATGTCTGTCTTAGACGGTTGAAGATAAGGGATAAAATAAGCCCTGGTCTCCCGTCGCGCTCCCAGGCCTATTAGGATGAGGAAATTCCTGCCTAGTAAATTTTAGTCAGACTGGTTGTCTGCTCTCAACCCTGTCTCCTGATAAGATGTTATCAATGACAATGCGTGCCCAGTGGGACATGAAACTTCATTAGCAATTTTAGTTTTGCCTGGTCCTGTGATCTCACTCTGCCCCCATTTGCCTTGTGATATTTTATTGCCTTGGGAAGCATGTGATCTCTGTGACCCACACCCTATTCGTACACTCCCTCCCCTTTAAAAATCACTAATAAAAACTTGCTGGTTTTGCGGCTCAGGGGGCATCATGGAACCTGCCAACATGTGATGTCTCCCCTGGACACCAGCTTTAAAATTTCTCTCTTTTGTACTCTTTCCCTTTATTTCTCAGACCGGCCAACACTTAGGGAAATAGAAAAGAACCTATGTTGAAATATTGGGGGTGGTTCCCCCGATAGCCAGAAGCATTAACTTCTGATAAGCCTAGTTCACAAAGTAGAGGGTACTGTCTCCAGATGGCTTTGACCCCTTCCCTTCCCTGCCCTCCCCTCCCCTCCCCTCCCCGACTTCCCTCTCCCACTTCCCTCCCCTACCTTCCTCCCGCTACCTTTCCCCCTTCCCTCCCCTCTCCTTCCTTCCCTTCCCCTCCCCTCCCCTCCCTCCCCAGGGTCTTGTTCTCTCACCCAGGCTGTGGTAATCATAGCTCCCCATAACCTCGAATTCCTAGGCTCATGTAATCTGCCCACCTCAGCCTTAGAAGCAGCTAGGACTACAGCCACACACCACCATGCCTGGCTAATTTTTTTATTTTCCATAGAGACAGTCTCAGTAGGTTGGCCAGCCTGGTCTTGAACTCCTGGCCTCAAGGGATCCTCCTGCCCCAGTCTCCCAAAGCGCTGGGATTACAGGTGTGAGTGAGCCTATTAATAACTAGCCTGGTCGTTTCCTTAGACATTTCTGTAGAACCTTGTACTTCCTTTTTATAACTCTCATTGCCTGTAATTACTTGTTCAATGTCTGTTTTTTCGGCTAGTCTAATCTTCATGATGGAAAAGACTGTATTTTTTAATACTGTGCGCCCCACACCTAGCAAACTGATGGACACAGATTAGATACTTAGAGGTATTAAATGAGTGACATTTGGAAAGTTTTGTTATTTTTTGTTTTGTTTTGATATTAATAGCCTCTTGCTCAGGCATTCTGTTCAGTCTGCTCAGTATCTGGGGAAAATGGCAAAGTGAAAAAAATATATAAACTGAATACACATACATATATTCAGTGGCCTCACTTTATGGAAATTTAATTTTTTGTCATATATAACTATAAATATGTCTTCTATAGCAGGACTTATAAATTATATTTTTTGAAAGGTAATATATTCCCATGGTACAAAAGAAATTCCAAAACAGTCATCAGTGAAAAGACTCTTTTCTCCTCTTGTTCCTCAGTCATCCCATTTTCCTCCCCAGAGATGATCAGTGTTACTAGTTTTTTACATACCCTCTAGAGATATTCTTTGCATTTACTAGCAAATAACGTGTGTATATGAACAGATGGGCGTATATAACATACATTGCCCTGCACTTTGTTTTTTTCATTTAACAGGCTATCTTCAAGATCATTCCATATCAGTTCATTAATAATATTCTTGTTTTGTGTGTCTGCTTAATATTCCATTGTGTAGATTAGATGTCTGCAAACTATATCCCTTGAGTGAAATTGGTCTTCTGCCAGTTTTTGTGTGTCCCACAAGCTAAGAACCATTTTTAAATGGTTGGAAAGAAATCAAAAGAAGAATAAAATTTTGTGGCATGTAGAAATCATATGAAATTCAGTGTTCATACATAAAATTTTATGTAAACAGCCACACCCCTTTGCTTACATATTGTTTATGGCTACTTTCAAGCTACAATTGCAGAGTTAGGTACTGCCACAGAAACTGCATGGCCTGCAAAGCCTAAAATATTTATTCTCTGGCTTTTTACAAAAATAGTTTGCCGACCCTTCATACAGATGCATTGTAGTGTATTTAATTAATATTTTGCTGTTATAACACAGCATTGAAAATCTTATATATGCAATATTTTACACATGTGTGAGTAGAACTAGAGGATATAGTTCTAGAGGTAGAATTGCTCACAGAGTTTTAAATTCTGTGCGGCACATTAAATTTTTTCTAATTCTGTTAATTCTGCATCAAGGGAAAAGGCAGAGGAAGATGGGGGAGAGTGGACAAAAGATCTCTTTCTTTCCTCCTGCTGAAATGGTTTGTGGCATTGACAAAGTCAAGTTTGTGTGGGAGGCTTTGAAGAGACTGGCTCATGTCAGAGGGAGAGGAAAGAAAAGGAGACAAGTAGTTGCTGGCAAGTCATCTGGGAAAAGGAGCTGAGCCTAGAGAGCTCCTTCTGAAGACCTGCCTGGTATAGGCCCAAATGCAGGGTGGAGGGAAGTGTGCAAAACTTCAGGACTCCAGTATCTGAAAGTCTTGTTCTGATACTGGAGCCCTAGAAAAGGACTTGCCTCTTAATAGGTCCAACCAGAAGAACAGAAACTATAGGGAACTTTCTTAGGTTTATGCTGTTGTATTCTAGATAAACTGGGACTGATATCTTGGCGCACAGCAACCTAGGCAATTTGGAAAAAGGAAGTCTTTGTGAGATCTGCTCAGAAACATTTGCATTTGCTTGATTTATTTCCCCACACTATTCCTTCCCTTTCTCTCTTCCTTCATTGAAGAAAAATACCAAAAACAAAAAATTCTCTCAATTTTTACCTTTCATCCCATCTCTGCTTTGAAACAGTACTGACTGCTGCCACCTGACGTATTTCATCAAAAGTGGAAGAGGCACAGCTGGGACCAGTGCTCTCTCTCCAGTCTGGGATGTGAGAATCAGCAGCACTGAGAGCTCTAGCCTGCTTCTCTCCCCTGACTTCTGACACTCCCTAAGTGGAAGACAGAGCTGCTTTTCCTCAGACCACTTGCAAGCCTCTGGGAGGCTTAGTGTCAGTTGTCTGCTTTCTCTTTTCACGATCCAAAGGGATATAAAGTGTAAAGCTGAACCTGGGAAAGGAACAGGACA
The DNA here is from genome assembly GCF_000001405.40 of Homo sapiens. NCBI lineage: Eukaryota > Metazoa > Chordata > Mammalia > Primates > Hominidae > Homo > Homo sapiens. Next base: position 75,698,340 of record NC_000014.9, read on the forward strand.
AATGGCACCTTTTAATCACTTGTAAATGATTGTCCTTCCTCTCCACTGGCACATTGCTTGATTTACAGTGAATTTTTTTTTATAAGCTCGAAATATTTAAGGAAAGTAGCTGTATTATAAGAACTAGATTTTGGCTTACATTGACACTGTTTGCCTAAGGTCCTTTAGTTAACAGATGTAAGCATTTCAAAGATTCATGATGATTCTTTGTGACAGTAATAGACTAACATCCAGATATTTGCCTTATTTTGTTTTCATCTTTTCATTCAAGAAAGAGGGGAGGCCGGGCATGGTGGCTTATACCTGTAATTCCGGCGCTTTGGGAGGCTGAGGTGGGAGGATTGCTTGAGGCCAGGAGTTGAAGACTAGCCTGGGCAACATAGAGAAACCCTGTCTCTACAAAAAGTTAAAAACAATTAGCTGGGCATGGTGGCCCATGCCTGTAGTCCCATCAACTCAGAAGGCTGAGGTGGGAGGACTGTTTGAGCCCCAGAGGTTGAGGGTGCAATAAGCTATGGAAGCACCACTGCACTCCAGCCTGGTCAACAGAGCAAAGACCCTGCCTTAAAAAAAAAAAAAAGAAAAGGAAAGAGGCGAAATGGTGGAAGAAATTACTATGGGAGTGATTTTGCTGTCCTCTTTTCTCCTCCCTCCTTCCCTCGCTCTATTTTTATTTTTAAGGCAAGTCCAAAAATACAGGTAATTTTAGTTACTGCCCAACACTTAGAAATTTGTAAGATTTTTGGGTTCCCTGAGTAGATAACCCTTTTTGAAAGTTGATATAATAAACTCAAGTTCATTCTTTTTCTTTGTTTCCTCTGTTTTTTATCTCCCAATATTTTGAGCAGATTCATATTCGAAGGACCGGGGACCTTGGATAGTAAAACCAGTGGCATCTTCAAGGGGGCGGGGCGTCTACCTGATCAACAATGTAAGTATGCAGCAGATGGCAAACCTCTCTCCTCACTTGTTCTTTCCTCCTTCACCCTTTGTATTGGTTACTAATATAGTTCCATTTCATTAAGAGCAGGTGTGCTCTTCTTAAATCTGCATTCAGAAGTGAGTTAAGCGTAGGTATAACTTGACTTGTTTGCCTTACTGGCAGGAATCTTCTGCACCAGCAGTTACTCCATGGCTAAAAAGACACTTGATCAGATTTTAGGGGAGGGCAACCTGTTGTGTCAGCAGAAAAGAGGTACCTTTTCTGCTTTTAGCATATTGTGATGTTAATTCCTACACACCAAGTATTAATTGATAGCGTATGTGTTTAGCATCTGTTGTGAGCAGAACTGTGGGTTCTGTTCTCAAGGTTATCAAACAAGTGAACCTTAATTTGGTATGGTATCCTCGCTACTGCTGCTGCTTCTCCTTTCTCCTCCTTCCTTCCTCTTTCCTTTCCTCTTTCTGCCCTTCTTCGTCTCATTTCTCCTCTTTTTTCAAAAGCCAGCAATATCTTGATTCTTTGCAAAATTCTCATTAAAAGTTGTCTTAAATTGAATACATACACATGGTAAATAAAATCCCTACTGGTCTCACTCCCTGGACTTACAATAGTAGTTAGTAACTTTTGTTGATTTATATTTCTTTCATTGACATTACATTGTATTTGTTAATTCCCAGTTTGGCATTTATTGCATTTACATCATGTCCCACCCTCCCTTGCACATTTGTTTGATTAGTTTTTATGTTTATGTTTTAAACAATAATAGAATCTCTTCAGTAACTATGATTCAGTTTCTTTATTTTATCTATAAGTTGAGTAAAACATTTAAACTCAGTGGAAACCAACTCTTGGACTTCTAAAGGGGGAAATATTAGGATAGGTAGCTGGGCAGACATGAGCCGGGCATGAGAGGGCCCCCGCTACCACCAAGGAGTGTCAGGTGATCATCAGGTGATGGTCAGGCAGTTGTTAAACTGGTCTCTCTAAAATAATAATTGGTAGCAGCAGATGCCAGGGAAAGGCAGGCACCTGAAGCTGGTGATCAGCCATTTCCCAGTAAGATCTCAGGAGTTGGGCGAGTAGGCTCAAGCATGTGCCCTAAGAAGCAAAATGATGGAGTTTAACTGGTATATGACCTTCCTCTAGGAACACTCGACTGGTAAGGCAAAAACACTTCAAATGAGCACGTGCACAGCTGCAGCCAACACACTGTGTATGAGGCCCCTCTCAAGTGCTGGCAGGCCACTGCACATGCAGACAGCTTACCCCATGGAAAAATCAAGGGAGGAGAGATGCAAAACCCCGGAAGCATGCCAACATATAAAACCCCAAGTCTAAGGTGAAACAGGCACTTGGGTCTCTCAAGTTGTCGGCTTGGCCCTCTTCCACGTGTACTTTACTTCCTTTCATTTCTGCTCTAAAACTTTTCAATAAATGTTCACTCCTGCTCTAAAACTTGCCTTGGTCTCTCACTCTGCCTTATGCCCTCAGACAAATTCTTTCCTGCAAGGAGGCAATAAGTGAGTTGCTGCAGACCCACCCATATGGATTTGCTGCTGCCGCTGACAGACTTTGGGATTCTGAAATTTAACCAGGATTTAGGCCTGGACCAGTTTTTTATTCTTCCTCCTGGATATTTGGCAGGCATTTTCAGTCTGGAAACTGGTGTTTTTCTTTAAGGAAAGTTATCTTCTTATTTGTCTCCGCTTTTAGAACTCTTTTTTGAGGCATTCTAGATCTTTCCTTCATGTTAACTTTTCTCGCATTTTTAATTCTTTTCCCATCTTCTAGATCACAGGTTGAGGTTTATCCATTTATTATTCATTTATCTACTGTATTTTTATATTGGGTATCATAGGTTGATTTCCAGAAACTCATATTCTGATTTGCTTTATTTTTATTTACAAATAACAACCTTTTGTTGCATAATGGATGCAGTTTGCCTGCCTTTCCTTCTGAGGATACCAATGGAAATTTTTGTAAAGTTCTCTTCTGTCCTTTAATTTTATTGGGATTGTCTTTTCCCCTGCTATTGGATTTTCTCAGCTTTGATGATCCTTACATGTTGGACCATATTTATGAACAAAAGACTAGACTGAATGAAACTGGCCGCTGGTCTGGGTTTCTACTGTGGTTGTGTAGGACTCTTTTCCTAATATCTTCTCCCTGGAAGAGGCTGACTGTGAATTTTGTGTAAGGGCAAAACATGTTGACTCTCAGGCTTTACTTTAGGTGGACATGGTGAGAAGCACTCCCCTTCCACCTTGCCAAAATAAAGTGGGCCATATTGTGAATGCAGAGGAGGATTTTGGTGATCTCCCTCTTGGGCAGAGCTACCTTTCTTTTCCTTTTTGTGTGTACTGGTGATAAGGTAGCCTCAAGTTCTACTCTTCTCTATCAGATTTCTGCACCCACACGTCTCCTGGCCTCACTGTTCCAAATGCTGTTTGTTAATTATCTGATTCTAATTCCTTGGCTGATCCCTGAGCTTCATGTTTGTTGAGTACAAGCTTGGAAATTTGCAGGAGCCTCCTTGGGAAGGTCACTCTTATCTCTTTTGGACTTTTCTGGCTTCTTTTACTTTTTCCTAGCTTTGATATCATTTCATTCTTTTGAAAATATTCTTTCTGTCCTTCCACTGGAACTCTGGAAGGGCAGGGGTAGGTAGATGTGTTGTATGTGGGACCAGAACCCTATCTTAAATTCCCCACTTGTCTTTTCACATTGAGCTGTTTGCCATATGTGTAGAAACTAACTTTCTGAGGGATCTTTCACATTGGAAAGTCCTTAAATTCAGTCTGGACTCAAAACAGTACCGTAAACAATGATGGCCAGACCCTTCATGCCAAAGAAATATAGGATCTGGTTTTGATAGAGCAACTGCTACAGCCCCAGGCATTGGCTGCAACTTCTGTTACCTGGCCTAGGCCACTCTGGAGGCCTTTTACCCTGAGTCTCCTGTGACATAAGGCCATGGTCATATGCCTTGGCTCTGTCTCCTCTTGTCTCTGCTCTGACGTTGGTGTTGAAGGCCCCTCTCCAACAGCTTTTCCTTCAGCTCTGTGCCAGGAGCTCCAGTGTTGTTTGAATCTCATAGACGGCACTAGTTTGGGTTTAGGTTTTAGCTGCCAAATGGAATTGCTATTGAAAGTCAGCTATGGTACAAGTTTGCTTTTTATTTTCTTAGATATGAGTCAAAAAGAATAGGATCTATTCCCAGCTCATCTGGGACTTTTTTCTTTTGGAATGCTTTTTTGCCCTAGTGATTTGTTATTTTAAAGCTAGCATCATAAAGGATAGAAAAGTTAAACTTTCCTTGGTGGAGCCGAGAACCCTGCGCCCTAACTCTTCCCTGGATGCCGAATCTCAGTGGGGTGACATGTCTTAGAGAATGTGTTTGGCAGGCTATGTAAGAGTCTTTTTCTCCCTCCCACCTCTCCCTGGGCTGAATCCTTTGAGACCCCCTGCATAGATCAAAGTACTTGGCAGGACCTTTTGCCTTCCCCCTCCCTCTTTGTGAAGCTTTGGAATGAGTCTGATTCTTTTAGGTATTTAGTGGAAGTGCCAGACAGAAGCCTGGGAGGATGCCAGGAGGCATGAGGGGAGCTGGCAACATGCGGACATAATGGGAAAATACTCCTGTTTTACCCCAAAACTGGAATTTTACCACCTTTTACCCAGACCTGCAAACCATGTTGTTAATACTCTTCTCTCTCCTTACACAAAAGGCATAACCATCCCCTCTTTTCCATGCCTGGATCCTTTCCCATGGAATATGTGACCCATTAGCCAACTGGATGAAGTAACTCTTTCCAAGGCTGCTGCCTGCTTTCCTTTTAGATTTAAGCAGGAGGGTGAGGAGAGGGAATGCTGAGGCAGAGGGTCTGGGAGCAGAACTAATGTGAGTGAGTGAGGGATTTAGGCAGTGGGGATGGAGTTGGTGTGAGGGCCAAATGAAAATATCTTCCCCTCTCTTCCCACTGGAGTGAGAGGGCCACTTACTAAAACTTCCCTATAGTAGTCATAACCTTTTGGAAACTCTCTGCAAATAGCAACTTTTACCATTACGAGAACGAGATAAAGGATAGCAAAAGCATCACTTTTATGTAACACTGAAAAGAGAAGTGTGGACCACAGATGGAAACATCTCGGTTGGCTAACGTGGTCTCATAAGGATGTGCTCTTTAGAAATACAGCATAAAGGAACAAAGCTGTGTTTGCTCCACTCCTTCAGTAACCATGACTAAATGCCATATTTTCCCAATTTAGTATATTCAAAGCAAGGAGGGGAAAGAATGGGTGTTTTCTGATTAAGGTATGAATTTGATTATGGAAGTCAAGTTTACTCATTCTTGTCTCACACATGATCCATGGGAAATACAGTATTGATACATTCTCTGAGACTTTCACATGTTAGGAGAGTGTTAGGTCACTCTAGTCCCTCCTATATTCGTGAATATAATTCTGTACTCTCTTGTTTCTGTTTGTTTATGTGTTTTTATCTTAGGTTCCCTTTGTTTTTCTCATTGCTCAACAAGTATTTCAGGAGTGCCTACTGTGTTGTCACTCCTTAAAAGCTTTTGAGAAATTCTCCTAATTATTATGTATCTCCAATTTTCATAATAGTACCACTCAGTACTCTGAGTAGAATGGCATGCAGCAGGTAGTGATGAATGCTGTTGAGCTGTGGGACTTTGTAATTAGAACCACATATATTCTGTTAAGTTTGCAGTAATAATAACTAATGTTTATTGAGCCTACCACTGTCCTTTCTAAACATAATCTCACTTAATCCATATATGAACCCTATGAGGTAGTTATTATTTCCTTAATAAGTGGTAGAGTCAAGGTTGTAACTCAGGTCCAGATGATTCCAGCATAGACACTCTTAACCACTATATCATTCTCCTTTACAATGACTTAACAGATACCATGAGCTTTAACCTTAAGGTCCATTTAGAAAGATACCTTTCCAGCCAGGCGCAGTGGCTCATGCCTGTAATCCCAGCACTTTGGGAGGCTGAGGCGGGCATATCACTTGAGGCCAGGAGTTTGAGACCAGCCTGGGCAACATGGTGAAACCCCATCTCTACTAAAAATACAAAAATTAGCTGGGTATGGTGGTACGTGTCTGTAATCCCAACTACTGGGGAGGCTGAGGCAGGGCAGTTGCTTGAACCTAGGAAGTGGAGGTTGCAGTGAGCTGAAATAACACCATTGGACTCCAGCCTGGGCGAAGAAATGAGATGCTGTCTTAGAAAAGAAAGATGTGTTTCCAACTTTCCCAACAATTCAGATTCCTACTTCAGCATTCTTTGGGAGGCAGTTTGAGCTTTGAATTGGAATAATTTGAAATGAGTTAACTGGGGATTGATGAAAGGAAACAGGCTTGAAGATATCAAAAAGTTTTTCTTAGTTGCTCTTCAGTCTGTAACGCTGTGCAAAGAAACTATATCCAAACCTTTCTTTTCTTCTGGGAGTCTACAGTTTAATTCCCAATGCGGATAGAAGTGAGGGATAAAGACAATAGAACACATAGTAAAGTTACCTAAATATTGTAAGGGTTTATGTTACGTGTAACTCAAAGGATAAATGTGTATGGTGAGCAAGGGAGGAGAGGAAATGGGCATGGGCGTTAGATGTGTCATGGAATGATGACCACTATCAGCATATTCTCTGCTGTGGAGAAAAGTTGGGTGAGTAGATATTTATTGTAGCCTATAGGTTCTACTCAGTAGGAAGAGAGCTGTGATTGTTTGATTTTACGTTTACAACATAGCCTGCAGCTGTATAGTGATTGCATCAATTCTCATTGAGCAGATTCAAAATGGAGATAGTACTTACGAGAAGCTGATCAAGAAATGTAAGGGAGTCAGGAAATGGTATGGATGATGAAGTTCATTAGGGATGAATCAGTAATGATGTCATTGTGTTCCTATGATGCGTAGAGATGGGTTGTGAAAGCTGTGTTCTGACTTTGAGATAGCAGCAGTGGGAACTGAGAGAGGACTCTCATTCTGACTTCAGAGCTGCTCATACTGGTTGTGTATAATGTTATAGGTCACAAAATTATCATATGAAAAACAGTAGTAGTATTGAGGGTAGGAAATGCATTGTTATAAAGACAAACTTTTGAATTTGGGGGACAATTAAATTTGAGAGCAGAATATTGGGAAGAGGTAAGAATAAAGCCTAAAAGCGAAGCCTGTGAGGAAGACTCCCTGGATTCCGTTGCTGCTCTATTGCTTATTAGCTCCGTGACTTTGAGCAGGTCCCTAACCCACTCTGATTCTTTTTTAATCTATAAAATGTGGATGGTGATATACCTGCCTCATGGGGTTGGGTGAGGATTAAATGAAATAATCCTGTGAACAGACTTAGAACAGCACTTGGCACATCCACGTGTTTAGTACATTTGTTAAATTTTGTGTCTGCAAATGTTGATGGTTATTTCTGTTGCCTTTACTGTAGCTATTATCAACCTAATTATTATCACTACCACTTCCCTTTTGGAGCCCTTTTGTCCTACATGGATTGTGGTGACTTCCAGCTTTATCTAATCACATGTGAAGGTTTTTTTTTTTCTCCCAGATATTTTAATCTTGCTGTTTCCTTAATCTAGAATCCACAATAATTTCCTGCTTCCCACCATGCTAAATATAAACTCCCTTTGCCAGGGGTTCAAATCCCTTTGTCAGTAGGGTACCTCCCTCCTCATTGTTTAACCATGTCTTTCATAATTTCCCAGTTCAGTCTTTTAGCCCCAGGTCTGTGAATCGGCCCACCCTCCTTTCTACTGGGCTTGGTGCGTGCCATCTTCCGATGATGGGCTCCTTTCTTCTCCACCATGTGCTTCCCAGCCTTCACTCATTTCTGCATCTACTCTTCTGGGACAAGTCTTCCCTGACTGGTCCCACCTGATTGGTCTGCACTTTAACTTTGTAACCTGGCATCTTGTATTTATAGAAATGCTGCTTTGTGTTCTTTTAAATTCTATATTTTGCTGTTCCTCTACCTAAATATTAAACTTTTCAGGGATAGGGATTTACTGAATCTTAAATCTGCCAGGCAGAGATTATATGTGTTATGTTCATCATGGTATCCCCAGTGCCATATGCAGTGTCCACAGTACTTTTCTATTTATTGTATAAACAACTGTTTTTCATTGAAGAAATCTTTTAAAGACCTTATTCACTCTTTGCATACAGTTGCTTAGCAAATACCCTTAAGTGAATCAATTAAACACCTATCTCATTTTACAGAGAAAATGCTAGGATCCATTGTGGATCTGTAAGTTCTCCAAACATGTTAATGAAAGCCTTCATTTAAGAATAGTAGTAGTATTTTTAAATTTCCATTATACTTCAGGGAGAAAGCAAGTTTTCATTTATTTTTAAAGTGGCTCTTATTTTCTTGGCAGGTAACTATTTAATATCATGTATATACATCTTTAAGGCTATTAGGCTTATTTATTTATTTATTTATTTATTTATTATTTATTATGTGAGAGGTACTGTGTAAATTTATTTTTCCTGCATCGTAATTGGATGCCTATAGTGTTATAGAAGTGATATTATATGGCCAACTGAATATATGGGTACCTTGGAGGAAACTTTAACCAGAATTTTAGTTTTCCACCTTACCATTTCTTTAAAGGTTAAGAACTTTGCTCCCTTATTGTAAATTAGGATTCCTGTGTATTTCTATTCTTTCATTCTTTCTCTTTACTCAATAGCCAAACCAGATCTCCCTGGAAGAGAACATTTTGGTCTCCCGTTACATTAACAACCCCCTGCTCATAGATGGTGAGTTGTGATTAGGCCCTTGACCAAATTGGGCCAGATTTTTGCTCAACTTTTTAAGCTTTTCATAGCCTTCTCTAGTAAGTCTTTATTATACTGTTGTGAAATTCTTGACATGTGTGGCTCCAGAAAGGCAGCAGGTTCCTTACCTATCTCACGGGATTTATCTGAAGGTGAAATGAGACAATATAAGAGAAAGTGCTTTATAGGTTATATAGTAGTATATGTATGAAAATTGTGCAGTAATTAATATATATGAAAATGACACACATATGCATTATATATACATTACAGTTATATTAATGTATATATACATTATACGGTTTTTATTATGTACTATATACATAATATGTATACGGTACAATTATATAGTATAATTATTAGTTATCCTCCGAAGTCAAGGTGTGTGAGCAGTGTGTGTTTCATGTGGAGTGTAGGAATGTTCTTTCTTTCATGTTTCTTGGTTTCGTTGTTTATTCTGTAACAGGAAACAAATGAACTTAGTTTTTTTTTGTGAATACAAACTTTTTTTTTTTAGATTTCAAGTTTGACGTGCGCCTCTATGTGCTCGTGACTTCCTATGATCCTCTTGTCATCTATCTCTATGAAGAAGGATTGGCTAGGTAAGAAGCTGTTTGGGGGTGAAGGGGTTGGGTGGGTATATTAAGGGTGGGTATATTAAGAGTGGATCCATTAACAAGTTTATTAAATCAGATCATGCTATTTTTACTTGTCATTACTGCTTACAGATGCAATCCACCTCCTCAACTGCTGTGCTCTATAACATCAAAGCCAGTATGCCTAAAAAGAACTTCAGAAATTAGGCTTATTTGTCTGTAGTCTCACTGCATGTCCACACATAAGGTGTGTAAACATCTTCCCCAGCACTGATCCAGGATCATATGGTATTTTCCTGCAGTGACAATTGTTATGAAGCTCCTAGGATATTAAGATAATTTGCTGTTATTCTTCAGGATAGATGTAGAAAGAAAAATAAAATCCTACCTGTATTTGCCTATTATATGCCAGGCATTTATTTTCATCCTCGCAACAACCTTTTAGTTGATGCATTTTTGCAGTTGAGGAAACAGATTTAGAGGTGGGAGAAGTGGAATGGGGATTTGACCTCATGGATCTGACTCCAGAGCTCAGGGCTCAGACAATTTCATGCCCTCTCATATTTGGAAGGTATTAATTGAGGGTTTTTTTTTTTTTCCTTAACATGCAAGTTACTTTACAGTGGTTGTACATACATTGTTCTCTTTTTGTTAAGGTGCTTTTTTTTGTTTGTTTTTGAGATGGCGTGATCTCGGCTCACTGCAAGCTCTGCCTCCAGGTTCACGCCATTCTCCTGCCTCAGCCTCCTGAGTAGCTGGGACAACAGGTGCCCCCCACCATGCCTGGCTAATGTTTTGTATTTTTAGTAGAGACGAGGTTTCACTGTGTTAGCCAGGATGGTCTCGATCTCCTGACCTCGTGATCCGCCTGCCTCAGCCTCCCAAAGTGCTGGGATTACAGGTGTGAGCCACCACACCTGGCCTGTTGAGGTGCTTTCTAAGTTTTAAGGTAATGTGACTTACAAGATTAAGTTCAAGTTGTTATATTTTGAAGTTTTGTTTCCTCTAGCCACAGAATTTTACAGGTAATTGTTTTTGTAAACCCTTTAAATTGTTTAAAATAAGTATGTAACTACTATGCTGTGTTCTTCCCCCCAACAAAACTAAATTTTTGTATTAGCCAACTAGTTTGCCCTGAAGTTCTTTTTATGCGTAGTGCCTTTGATATAGAGCAGGGGTGTCCAATCTTTTGGCTTCCCTGGGCCACATTGGAAGAAGAATTGTCTTGGGCCATACCTAAAATACACTAACAATAGCTGATGAGCTTAAAAAAAATTGCAAAAAACTCATAATATTTTGAGAAACTTTATAAATTTGTGTTGGGCCACATTCAAAGCTGTCCTGGGCTGTATGCAGCCTGTGGGCCTCAGGTTGGACAAGCTTGTTATAAAGCATAGCAGTTTAGGAGGTGATTTGCATCTGTGAGTGGTCACGACAAGCTAAAAAAGCCTGGTCTGTGTATGTTTCTGTATTTTAGAAAATGCAATTGGAAGATGGGAAATACCATGGATAAAAGAAGGCTACCTATTTATGTACAGGTGCTTTGACAGATATTATTGTACTCTGACAACTATTATTTTAGAATGGTCTTTTAATGATTTTAGAGACTTAGTTTTTTTCACATGTATCCTATGACTTGAAATCAGTGAGAGCAGACTAACCAAACCTCGCTGGTGGAGCTCTGTGTTCCGTTCGCCTCTAGGTGGCAGTCACAGCATTTATAAGTCCTGTCATATTCTTAACTGAGATTTTGAGTTTGAGCCCTGGGAACATTGGAGACTACCAAAACTCCCTAGTTCTGGCCTCTTCCTTGAAAATTGAGAAAGGGAAGAACTGAAACATCTCGCAGTTATTAGATAAAGGGCTGGACCAGGCATCTGAACATGAGCTGACTACTAGCTCTAATCAGGTTTTTATAGGAAAGAAATTGTCGATAATATTTGTAGACACACGTGCTCTCACGTTTTGAAGTATCACTATACAAAATTAGGTATAAAAGCCTATTCCTGGCCAGGCGTGGTGGCTCACACCTGTAATCCTAGCACTTTGGGAGGCCGAGACGGGAGGATTGCCTGAGGCCAGGAGTTCAAGACCAGTTTGGGCAACATTGTGAGACCCCATCTCATTAAAAAAAAAAAAAAAAAAAAAAAAAAAGACCAAGAAAAAGCCTATTCCCTATATTATTTAAAACAAAATGATGGTAAAATACAGTCCTGACTTCTCAGATATGCAAGGTTCTGAGGATTTTCAGCTTTATAATTTGAGACTTCTGAGCTTTCTCTCTTTTGTGTTATGAGTTTCATCATTCTCCTTCCTCTGCTCATCCTCACCTTCACTTCTCTCCTGTGTCAAGTTTTAGAAACTGATTATGTCCTGCCAAAAATTGGACTTTGGGAATAGAGAAAAGAGATGGAGGTTGTGCTTCACTGTTTCTCAAGGACATCATAGCAATATGTTTTGCTTAATATTCCAAAGATATTTTCACCTACAATATTAACAGCCCTCTCTATGGGTAAAATTTGGCATAATTTTAAGACCTTTCTGGTTCAGAGCACAACATGAGAACAACAGTACCAATGTTTATTATAGAATTTACTACAAATATGCAAGTGCTTTGGCTACTGGTTGTGTGTTGGAAGTCAGAATCTACTGAATTAAGTATAACCCTTTTGCTTCCAGCAGAAACAAAAAAATTTATACACACACACACACACACACACACACACACACACACACAATGGATGTTTTTTCACAGAATAATTAGAAAAACAGCTTTTAAAAAACTCAGACCAAGTAGAACCAGAAAGCCACATGAATTTTCAGGGCTTTGGTTAGGTTTACCTGAAAGTGTAGGTGAATATAAAAGCTTTATCAAAGCTTTACAAAAGCATAACGCATGGCAATATGATGCACTGTTTGCGGGAGTCCTGCGAGGGCACATTGTTCCGTGCAGTAATTTCAATGTGCCTAAGTTCTTGTGTCTTCACTAATTATGTATCTTGACATTCACTTGCTTTGTTGTAACCCTCAGAGTCTGTTCAACTATGTCGATAGTCTGTAGCATCTCCAGATCTGCAGCTTTTAGTTATCTTGGGCCACATGTAATTTATGTAGACATAACTGAAGATCATCAGTTTGGGATGAGATTATTGGGTTACGTTGAGGCTCAACAAGAAAAACCATAATCTTTCCTAAAGAGACGGAACAGGAGGCAAATACAATTCATTTCCTTCTTTAGAAATGAATTCCCTTACACCCTATCACTTCTGTTTTGGACCTCAAATTAATACTAGGCGACAGAAAGATTAAATTCATTTCACAAGACAGTTTTGTGATATAAGTTATTTTGTGTAAAATTTTTTAACACAAAATTAAATTCGTGAAAACCCTAGTTTCTGTATAGATGAGTGTTTTCAGTTGTCCTTATTGTTTTATTAACATAAGAAGTGGGAGAGCTCTCACTGTTTTCTCATGTGTGGGTATAGTATTGAAGAAGTGTTGCAATTGTCCCCCTGGTATTTGGGTGCAGCTTTTTGTGATTCCCACAGTAGCCCTCAGAGGTCCCCTGTGCTTTTGAATTTTACTTGCGTGTTGCTGTTTTGCACCACCAGGGGACACTCAGTTTCCACAGAGGGGTGCTATGCTCTACCAAAATGGTGCAGATTCTTTTTCCTGTCAGGGGTGGACTCCAAAAAGATTTTGTCCTGGATTTTACAGCTTTAGGTGGATCCAGTATTGGGTTTAGATGAGTTGACAGAGCCCTTTCTGAGATGAAGCTAATAGCCAGATTTTCACTGAAACAGGAAAAATAAAAATTTCAAAAAAATTAAAACAAAATGGAGTTAAAAACTAAATATGTTGCCAGAGACCCAAAGATAGGCAGCTCTAGCAACTTGGGGGGCATGCAAGTATCCATCCAGGGAGCTGAGTTCCACCCATGCGGCGGAGGTGGGAAGAGAGGATTCTGGGAAGGTCCCGGTTGGAATGGCCTTTTTTCTGCCTCAGCCATATTATTCAGTGGAAATTCAGAAAAGACCCCAAAACATTTGTAGTGCCTTTCCCTTTCTCCCCACCCCCAGTTCCTTCTTCAGTAGCCTTCCTTGCTAATTAACACTGGCTCTGCAGGGATATTTACCTTTTCTCTGCTGGATTCCTGTGGTTTTGAAAGAATTCAGGTACTTGCTGGTTGCCAAGGAATTCAGATTACCTCACAGGCTGCACACTGTCCAGAATCTGCCACAGCAGCAAGTAGGGGGGAAGAGACACCAACAAGGGGGAGAAAACCCTTTCCAGTGCTCATTGTCACCCTCCCTGGCAGGCCCTTGCTGTTTGTGAAGTTTGAGTCATTTCTGGCTCTAAAGACAAGGGATCAGGCTGGTAATCCCCTCCCAGACGGCTCTGTAGGGCGCTGCCTAGTCACTGCAGCGCTTTGGCAGTCTCCCGGCTGCAGCTGGTTGACAGCAGATCAGAGAGCTCTTGGGCCTCTTGTTCTCTTCCATAAGATTTTTCTGGGTCAGGCCAGGATGAAACCCAGTGGCTCCTGGCAAGGCTGCCTGAGGTGCTGTCTCTTCATTGTCCAGGCCTCTCTGACTCAAAATGCCTACACCTGTTGAAGGATAACTCATGTGCCACAGCGAGGTCGAGGCTGGCCTTCTCTTTTCTTGGTACATTTGTAGTGAATGTTTGTCAGAAAATATAACTACCAAAGAGGATGTTAAGCTTCTACATCTAGAATGCCTGTGACTCTGACCATAAGAAGATATTGGTATCAAAAAAAAGTTTTTAAGAAAACAGCAGGACAAAAAAAAAAAAAAAGAACATGTGGGGTCATATTCTTAGAAGAACAAACTGGTTTTTGAATAGGGGAAGAGAGTTTAAAAGATCCCACTAACTCTCTGCTTTCCTTCTTGTTTTGGTTCCATATTGGTAAAGATCTTGGAGCAAGCAACTCCAGTGCAGTTTCAGTTAATGTTTGCCAAGTCCCTACCATATGCCAAACATTGAAATCTTTTCTCCACACAGACATTCAGACTTTTAGACAAATTATCTTGATTCTCTTGATCAAATTATCTTGATCACTATCTTGATTCTCAGTGAGAAACATTAGAAAGCGAAAAGGAAATGTAACTTGTGATTTAAAAATTTATTGTCAAAATAAAGATATTGTCCAAAACAATTCATATTTGTTTTCATTGTGGTTAAAAAGGGGGGAGGGGGCGGCAAATAGTTCTATATTCATCAATAGGCTGCAAAATAGTACCTAGGGTTTCAAATTTAACAAAGAAAGTAGGAACTCTCCCACCTTTTGTTAGCTTAAAGGTCAAAGCCTTAAAGGTCTGTCGTGAGAACTTTCCTAAATCTTGATCTCATTAAGAGGGAGATACAAGACTGACTCCATCGTGTAAATTTTGGTCTACATTAGGATAAGTGTGGTCATGTAGTCATGTGCTTTATAACAATGGGCAAGGAAGGACCACATATACTATGGTATCCCATAAGATTGTAATGGAGCTGAAAAATTTCTGTCGCCTAGTGACATTGTAACATCATAACACAATGTATTACTTTTTCTATGTTTAGATACACAAATACTTACCATTGTGTTCCAGTTGCCTACAGTATTCAGTATAGTACAATGCTGTACAGGTTTGTAGCCTACAAGCAAGAAGCTGTATTATCTATCCTAGGTGTGTAGTAGGCTATACCATCCAGGTTTGTGTAAATACGCTCTATGATGTTCACACAACGATGAAATTGGCCTATCAATGCATTTCTCAGAGCATATCCCCATTGTTAAGTGACGAATGGTTGTATGTGCAAACTTGGTCCTGGGGTACCTAGTAAATAGTGCTCTTTTAGGTTATTGTTAATAGAGAAATGGTGTTGAAACTTCAGACCTAGAGAAGATGAAATTTGATAATATGTGATGGTCTAAATCAAAGGTCACTAACATAAATGCTCACAAGTACATTCACTGAAGGAAGAGTGGAGACTGGAGAATGGAGAGTACATGTCTCATCTAAAGGCATTTACTATTTAGTGCCAGCAGCTGATACTGGTATTGCCAGATCTGGTTTGTTAAGTGAGGCTTGAACATGTAGATTTTTACTGTGAAACAAAGCACTTTTTTACACTTTTAATTTTGAAACCGTTTTGAACTTATAGAGTTGTCAGAGCTGTAAGAATTATATGAAAAATTACCTTTTACCCTATGTCTAGAGATCTCATTCCAATTCTGCCAATTGTCCTAAGATTTTTTTTTTTTTTAATTACAAAAGGATCCAATCAAGGATCACATGTTGTATTTAGCCGTCGGGTCTCCGTAGTCTCCTTCAGTCTGAAACAGTTCCTTAGTCTTTCTTTGACTTTCATGATCTCAGCATTTTTGAAGATTACAGGCCAGTCATTTTGTGGATTGTCCCTCAGTTTGGGCTTGTCTGATATTTTCTCATGAAGAGACCTAGGTAATGCATTTGGGGCCAGAATACCACAAAAGTGATACTAATTCTTGTCATTGCATTATATGTGATGGCACATGCTAGTCATTTAGTGGTGTTTGACCATTTGCTTTAGGTCATCTGCTAGATTCCTCCACTGTAAAATTATTTGGTCTTACCCTTTGTAATTAGTAAGTATTTTATAAGGAGATACTTTAAATCATGTAAAATTTCATTCTTCATCTCATTTCTCATTTTTAAGAAAAATCTATTGATTTTTCTTGCCTTAATGAATTATTGCTGTAATAGTTGCCAAATGATGATTTTTTAATTCCATCATAACTTTTATTTCTTGGCATTTTTCTGTGAGGAAGAGCTTTATCTTCTCGTTTATTTATTCATCTATTTATTTATACCAATGCAGACTCAAGCGTTCCTGTTTTATTTAATGGGTTATAATTCTTTACTATCATGATTTATTTTGATGCTCAAATTGTCCCAGATTTGGCCAGTGGGAGACCTCTCAAGCTGGCTTTGTGTCCTTTTGACATGTCTTTATCATTCTTTGAGCACAAGATGTTTCAGGCTCATCTTGTTCTTTCTCTATTCTATCCCTGGAATCAACCATTTCTCCAAGGAGCACTGGTTGCTTTTTCTTGGAGTATAATATTTAGAAATCAATATCTGGGTGCTAGATACGCTCATTGTTTTGGGGCATTTCTGCTTTCAGACCCTGGCCATGAGCAGAGTTAGGAAATTATGTATTTATGTACATATACACTTGTACATCTGTATTTCTATATCTGTCTCTAATGTATTGTTGAAAAATAGAAGTTTATACTAGTACGCACAATTCTAGTTCAAAACTACAGAGTTCCTTCTTGTTTTTTGCTTTTCATATTTTAAAATCTCTTTTCCAACAGCAGGAAATCTGGCTCGCAGTATCTTTAACATATTTATTTATTTGCTCAATTCCTTTGTATGTGGCCAGTTTCCTGACCCCACTGGGCCACTGTCCCATTCAGATGCCGTTTTTATATGGATTTATACCCTTATTTGGTGGCCTCCCTGCTTAGAAAACCTCCTTGTGCTTCTGGCTGACTTCCCACCCTACTCACCATCTTCCTTTTTTTTTTTTTTTTTTTTTTGTAACTCACCATCTTCCTCATGTGGGCCCTGGCTACCCCTGGGCTGCAAGAAGGAAGGTCTGATTTTTATATGTTGTTCAGGTAATTAAAGTTTAAAAGAAAAAACAAAGCTTTTGTAGGTTAATCAGAACTTGACCAGTAGGTCACATTCAAGACTAATGTGACCTGTGGTCTAGACAATAAAAAAGAAAATAGTGGTCAGATGATGATGATGGCTTATTTACTATGGATTTTAGTGAGAGCTATAAGCTCTTACTGGGGTAGGAGGAAAGATGAACATGCACACCTTTTCTCTCCATAGTGTATGTTCCCCACTAGACTGAGGGAGATATGGAGTGGAGCACTTTCACCCTTCAGGGGAACTTTTCCTTTAAGCTTTTTTGTTTCACTTTAATTTTTGCTGCTTCTGCTTCATACACTCAGTTTAGAATTCCACGCTTTGATATTAGAAATCTTATCCTTGCTGGGGTTCAGAATAAAATGCTCCAGTGAAAAGGAAGATTAGGAAGAAGAAACATGATTTTTTTTTTTTTTAGATGTGCAGCCCTCTTGAAAAAAAGAATATAGGAATGACAAATGTGTTGGTACCCGATTCCAGCTCACCACAGACTTTTGTCAGGCTTTTCATGTTGACCAAGTTAGATCAAGTACTTGTAGTAACTACAAGAGATGAAAAGCCTCTTTTTCTGAAGCAGAAGCTTTCCCCTCCTTCTAATTCATTGTTCTTTGAGGGGAGAGGATGACAGGAGGGATGTCACCTTGAGGTAATGTCTGGCTGAGGCAGGCAGCCAGCACGGGGCCCCTTTGCATCTCACAAGAATTCAGAGAATGACAGTCTGCAACTTGCTTGGACAATCTATTAGAGGAAGATTGGGATGCATAGGCAAGGGTTACTCACCAGGGCACTGGGGTGTGACATGGCTAGAAGTTAAGTGATAACTACTGGAAGTTGGAAGTTTCTAGAAAATCTGGGGTCCTTCTCAAGCACAGACATAATAATGCTCATCAAACTCTTGTCTTTTAGCCTAGTCATCATTTTCTCTTTGTCCACATCCTTTTTCCTAGCCTCATGTTTGTTTATTTTAGTTTTTTGGGTTTGGGGTTTTTTTTCTTTTCACTATTCTTTCTTTGGCTCTTGTATATTTCTGGTACAGGGAATTAGGGAGTGGAGATAGTGGGTGGATGAGAAGAAACAGAGAAGAGGAAAGTTTTTTAATGCTGACCTTTAATGTGGTGAAAATTCATGTTGACTTCATAGTCTGAGTAAGCATATGTAAATAATTTGTAAGTCATATGAAAATAAACTTGTGGCCTTCTTTTTTTTTTCACACACTTGGATATGCCTCTTGGGAAAACCACTCTAGTGAAGGGTGATATGGTTACAGTGGTATGTAAACAGGGGTTGATATCTACCATAACCATTCGCCTTGAGTGTCCTTTTGTTGATACTGAGCATCCTTTTGTTGATATTGAGCATCACTGGAAAGTTCTCTCTTTCCCTGGTTACTTCCTTCAGAGGCACATGTATTTTATACTTTGGTCTTCTTTTGACAACAGTCCGGGATATCAAATTGCTACCCTGTTTTCAGTGGGCTCCATGTTTAATTCCTCTTTTGCCTTCATTTCAAATTCAGGACTAAGTCTCTTGCACTGTGCCCATATTTATGCCGTTTTGCTTTGTCTGCTGTTAATGCTGTCATTATCATTCTTTTTAAATGAGTATTATGGATCAGTTCTATTCTTTCTATGGATGTCAGCTCTAAGCCTACATATAGCTGTGCTGTCATTTTTTCTTTTTGCTTATTTTTTTTTTCATTGAATGCTATAGTACCAGGCACTGTGTGGGCACTCAGTCGGTGTTTCTGTTGCCTAGGCTGGAGTGTAGTGGTGCGATCACAGCTCACTGCAGCCTCTGTCTCCTGGGCTCAAGCAGTCTTCTCACCTTGGCCTCCCAAGTAGCTGGGACTACAGGTGCACACTACCACGCCTGCTTAATTTTTTAATTTTTTGTAGAGATAGGGTCTTGCAGTGTTGCCTAGGCTGGTCTCAAACTCCTGGGCTCAAGCAATCCTCCTGCCTCGGCCTCCCAAAGTGTTGAGATTAGAGGCATGAGCCACCATGCCCAGCCAGTTGTTATTTCTGGACCAGCTAATGCTGCATCTTTCACAGTATCCTACACACAATTTCCCAGGTTGTAAATAGCTATATTTTCAATTTTCATTCTTCCTATTGGTGTAATGTTCTATATAAGAGAAGCAATGTCTTGTTGTGATTAAGTCCATGGGTTTTGGAGTTGGTGTGATCTTGAACAAGTTATTTAATAGACCACATTTAGTTTTCACATCTGTTTTTCAACTTGGATACGATATTATCTACTTCATAGGGTTGCTTTAAGGATTGAATTAAGTATGACATTATAAAACACTTAGAATGGGAGTTAGCACTTAGTAGGCACTTGGTATTTGTTAGGTAATGATATTACCCTCCTTTATTATTATCTCATTGATCCTCAGTTCCAGCCTGTATTTCCTTGAAACTCTGTTCCTGGCATTTAACCTGTTTCCCTTCTATCAGGTTTGCAACTGTGCGATATGATCAAGGAGCCAAGAACATTCGGAACCAGTTCATGCATCTGACAAACTACAGTGTCAACAAGAAAAGTGGAGATTACGTCAGGTACTGGCTGTGTCTGAGCCAGAAGTCAGAGGTGTCAGTCTCAGATGTGGGTGTTGTAGAGGTGGAAAGGTAACATGTGGCACTGGAGGACAACTTTACATTAATGTCCATGTACCATTTATGGAAATCTGTCAGTCATATAACAGTGTTGAGGCATATCTCCTGCTGCTTCTCCATTGCCTCCCCGGTTAACGGTGTCACCTTTCTCTACCAAAATGTGCCTTCACAAGTTTTTCTTCCTCACTGCCTTCCCTCACTTGACTTAGGAATGGGAATTTAATAGGCATATGGAACGTTTTAGAAGTTAAGAAATGAGGTCATTTCAGCACTTGGCAAACATATCAAAAGCTTAAAAAATGTCTGTACCCTTTGACCCCATGGTTCCATTTCTAGGAACTTAACCTTAAGGAATAAAAGATGTACACACAGGATCAGTGATAAGAATGTTCATTACCATGTATTCGTAGGTGGAAAAAGCAGGTTATCAGATAGCACATGCAACTTAACTTTCTTGCTTGAATATGAGATATCTAAAGCTGCTTATTTTTGCTGAGGGGGGAGGAAAAAAAGACCAGAAGTAGTACCGAAGTGTTAATTTAGCTTAACTATAGTGGGTAGGATTGTGAGTGGGTGATTTTTATTTTCTTCTTTGTGCCATTATGTATTTTCTAAATTTTTCTAAAATAAATACTTGTATGATCAAGAAAAAGAAAAGGAAAAAATCAAAGAAAGAAAGAAATGAGGCCATCTCAGAAAAGGATTCAGTGGAAGGGAGTACTAGCCCAGCTGTGTGGAAATATTCTTTTTGCTCTGTTTTCTTTCATGCCGATATTTTTGCCAGAAAGTGGAAAAGTGGAAAAGAGACCCAAATAGTTACTTTCTACTCAGACTAAAAATAGGTTCCTAGCAGGTCCAAGGAAAGAAAGAAAGGAATCTGGAAGTGATAGAATAGTTGCTGAAGCTATATAGGTTTCAGCAAATATCCTGTGAGCAGCATTTGCATTGACTGAAGAGATCATACCTCCACTGTGAAAGATGAGCAAAGGCACAATTGGTGGAGAGTGGGATGGTGGTAGGGAGTGAGGGGACAGCTGCAAAACACAGGTTCCAGATTGCGGGGCTCTTCCAACATTCGTGGGAGGCTGTGCCATTGGCCACTCCGCTGCCATAGCAATAGTATACCTCCTCACTCTTACTGTCACTCCAGTGCACTCTCCCTTCAGTGTTACCTCAAAAAAATCAGGAAAAGCCATATCTACTGCCAAAGAGGAGGGAACCTGCTTCAGATGCCAAAGCAATTCTGTGTGGGGTTATTTCATTAGCATGCTGCACCAGAATAACTCACTCACCCATTCCAACTCAGTTCTGGTCTGAAAATGGCATCAGAGGTTGTTTTGTGGACTCAGGTGACATTCACCTCAAAGGTTAATTGTCTTTTAACTTGTTGTAACCATTCTTAAATTTGTTTGCCTTCTTTCACACATTGCTTTCACTCTTTCTTGATGCATAATTGTTTGGTTAAGAAAGAATTTGCCGCCTTCTTCCCCACCCTCTTGAAAAAGGCAAACTGTATGCATTTTCATTTCCATTGAAGAAATTGGTATGAAAGGATATATGACAAAAAGGACCAAGAAAAAATGAGTAACTGGAAGTCAGCAAAGTGAATTAAAAAAAAAACTTTTTAAAAAGACAAGAAGGCTATTTGCAAAGAGTCTTGTTATTATAGCCAAGCCTAGTTACATATGTGACTTTGATTTATTAATTTGTTTTAGTTGTGACGATCCAGAAGTGGAGGATTATGGAAACAAATGGAGCATGAGTGCTATGCTTAGGTACCTGAAACAAGAAGGCAGAGATACAACCGGTGAGTACTGGGCCTTTTTCCTTCTTGACTTCTCTTCTTTGGATAACTTTATCATTGTCTCTTGCCAGGAATCATTCTCTGTTGCTTTGATAGTGTTGCTGAGACGGGATGATTGTCCTTGGTGTTACTTTTTCCTGCAGTTGACAAGCTGGGGAACAGGTTTTCCATTACCCTCAAAATCCCTTTTCTTGTTTCGGGTCTGAAAGACATAACTTTTTCCTTTTAATCCTTAGTGAATTTACCCTTCTTGAATGTTGAACTGCTGACTAAAATATGGTCAGCTTTTTATATAACAAATTGCCTGTCTCCATATTGGCCCCAAGTTTCGAGTTTTCTAAGTTAATCTCTCTCATTCATGTTGCTGAGTTGGAGAATGGGCACTGTTTGAGCACAGGGCTTCAAATCAAAATGGACACAATTGCTGAGCCTTGAGCAGAACGGGAAACTGTGTGCCAAAAAAGACTTTTCATTTCACAAGGGAAAGGGTCATAGGGGAAGTGTGAGAAGGGAAGTGAGGCTCCTATTCCATTATGTGTCTGTCTTTTGTCATAAGAGGCCACCTGAGGGTATCCCTTGGCACCTACATTCTTGACTGTATTGATCTGTTCACAGATATGCCTGCCTCTATAGCACCCATTCAGAAGTCTGCCATATAGAGGCTTTTTTGAATGAGCACACATGCTTTTATAGTTATATTGTTATCTGGAATCCAGTTCATAATCCATGTATTTTGATATTGAGTCTGAAATTTAAAAATTTTTGTTTGCAGCATTGATGGCCCATGTAGAAGACCTGATCATTAAGACTATAATCTCTGCTGAACTAGCTATTGCTACTGCCTGTAAAACCTTTGTTCCTCATCGCAGCAGTTGTTTTGGTAAGGAGACTCAAGAAGCTTAACATGTTTTGTGAAGAGGATCTTGGGAAGTTGGACGGGATTTTAGGGTAGAGAGGCTTAGTGATTCTATAGCAGTAAGAGGTATGTGATGGACTCTTCTTTCTAAGCTCATGTAGCATATGAAGAGCCTACTAAGAGGCCAATAGTGAGCTTGGTCAGAAGTCCCCTGAGGAGTAACTAGCTTTCTGTGTGGGAAGCAGGGATTGGAACGAACGTGTTGGTCTTTCTGTCAGAGTGCAGTCAGAAAAAGTCTGCAACGGACTGTACAGGAATCCAGCTCTAACAAATATATTCCAGAGCTCCTTGGCAGCCAGGCTGGGAACAGTTCCAAGAAGCTCTGGCTGGTACCAGTATGTGCTTTCTCCCATTTTCCGATGACTCCTCCTTTTTGTTTGAGTCTTCTTTCTAGTGTGTTCCTCCCCCTCCTCTCTTTCTCCCATTCCTCTTCCACTTTCTTTTCTCTTTCTCTTTCTCTTCCTCTTCTCCTCCCCTTCCACTCCACCCCCAACTCCTTGACTGCACAGAGAAGGAATAAGCAGTTCACAACTACAGAATCAGGAAATGTTACCTACTGACCCCCTAGCTATAATGGTAGCACTGAGGGTGCCTATGGACATTGCTTCCTATGTGGAAATGAATGGGTTTGTGATTGCCCATGTGAATGTGTTTAAAGTCACATAGGCTTTTGGCAGTGTTAGGCTTTGTTAGTAAAATACACTAGGGTCTTTGATGGGGAGGATGATTAAAGTGTGGTGTGGAGTAATACAGGTAGTAAGGATATGAGAGTCGTGCTTTGGTTAGAAGGCAGAGTAACAGGGAAATAAAGAATATGGGTTTTAGAGCCTAACAGCCTTAGTTTGTAACCATGTATATCCATATCTAGTTTTGTGATTTTCAGCAAGTTACTCTAATCCTGTTTCCTCAACTATAAAATGGCAGTAATGGTGGTGTCTACCTCCTGAGAATACCATGAAGATCAAATGAGATGATGCACGCAAAGCACTTGACACAATGTCTGGCCCTTACGTTGTACTCAATAAAAATTATTTGTTATTTTTGTAATTAGACATCATAATTCCTGATCTCTTTAACAGATTATCGTTAACAGGCTATATTTGAGGGTCAGTAAACAAAGGGAATTGTTGAGATTGAATAGAAGATGGTAGATAAATCAGGACCTAAAATTATATGGGAAAAGAAGAGGTTGTAATATATTTTTTAAAATACATATCTGATCATGTCTTCTGAAATCCTTAAATGGTTCCTTAGGCTTAAATTGTATAATAGAAACTTGATATGACCTGAAAGGCTTCTAAGGTAACTCAGGTAACTCTTCTAGAATTCCATTTCCCCTCATATACCTTATAATCCAGCTGTACTATAGTATACTTCTAAGCACTCTGTGCTTTTGTGCCACTGTATGAGTTCTGCTGTTTGGCCTAAAAACTCTCCTTCTGTCTCTGCCTTGCATGCTCCCATTTCTTTTCTAAGATTTAGTTCTCCACATTGCCTCCTCCCTCATGCTGTTCTTTTTTTTTTGAGACAAGGTCTTGCTCTGTTGCCCAGGGTGGAGTACAGTGGCATGATCACCGTTCACTGCAGCCTCCACCTCCTGGGCCCAAGTGATCCTCCCACCTTAGCCTCTCGAGTAGTTGGGACTATAGGCATGTGTCATCATGCCTGGCTAATTGTTTAAAAAACTTTTTGTAGAAATGTGACCTCACTATGCATTATGCTTTTCTGTGCTTGTTTGATCATTCTCTTTTCCTATCACATCATGATGTTTTGTTTATACATACACTCAGCCGTGTCTGAGTTTATTTTCTTGAATTCATAACAGCCAGTGTGTCCTTTCTTCCCATTTCACCCTATTTCTGCCAAACCAGAGCTTTCAACATTTCTCTTGTCCCCTTTTTAAATTTTTTTTTTTAGTTTTGTATTAGAGACAGGGTCTCACTGTTGTCTAGGCTAGAGTGCAATGGCGCAATCGTATTTAGCTCACTGCAGCCTTGAACTCATGGTACCAAGTGATCCTCCTGCCTTGGCTTCCCCAAATACTGGGCTTACAGGCATGAGCTACCATGTAAGCCCTCGCTTGCTACCTCTGCACCTGTTTTACCGTGTGTCTGAAATACCTTTCTTGTGTTACTTTACCTAATAAATTACAGACATTTTTCAAGACAAAGTCAAGTGTCACTTCTTTGGTGATGTTTTTTTCTAATGCTCCCAGAGTTAGCCTGCTCTGCCCTTATACCCCCAGCACTCTGTTTGTAACTCTACAATAGTATCTGTATGTTGTCTGGTAGTCATGTGTATATTTGTCTCCTGTAGCCGACTGGAAACTCCTTGAGGACAGTAAGAATATCTCCGTCAGTTTTGCCCCCACCATGCATGGCAGCACTTTTTTTTAAATTGAGACAGTATCTCACTACGTTACCCAGTCTGGCCTTGAACTCCTGGGCCCAAAGGATCCACCTGCCTCAGCCTCCCGAGTAGCTAGGACTATAGGTGTGTGCCACCATACCCAGTTGCATGTCAGCGTCTTTTGCTCTTAGAGAATGTTCAGGAAATGTTTCTTGAATGAATGATTGGCACTTGCTTTAATTGCTTTTTGGTGGCCTGACAGTAGACTTCCCAATGGATCTGGTTTGGTAATGGCCTAGAACTCTTAGAATTATTGCAGACTGTTTGAAGATGGGGATGAGGGGTTGGGACTAGGAGCGTAACTCCAACTTCCAAAACCTCATTAGATTTAAATAATAAATAAAGGTTTATTTTTCTACATCTACTTGGCTCTTATATGAGGGTAAATTTCTGATATCCCTTGCTGTAAAAATCTTTGTTCTAAATAATTATAAAACCTTTTCTGAATGTTTCCTTTTGTTTGTTTGTTTGTTTGTTTTATAACTTGATTGCCTTTTGGAAGCTTGGGAGCTTCATTATTGAACTTATTGGCAATAGAATGTTCCGACGTGGAAGAAGCTGTGACTTTCTCTGACTCAGTGAAATACCCCTTAAGTCCATTTCATCAGCCATGGGTCTCCTTTCTTCCTCCCTACTTGTGTTCAGTTTTAATAAACTGAGTGCATCTGGAGTTTTTTAAGTTGTTGACTATCTTCTTGGCTTTTGTGGTTCTAATTCCACTTCCTGTCAGCCCTGGGATTTTGTGTGCTTCATTAACCTCATCCCATCAGATATGATTTTGTATACGTGTGTATATTTGTATGAGTCTCTGCCTCCCACTGACTCCTAACTTCCCCTGGGGTTTAAGTCACAAGGAATAAGCTAGTTGTTTTTTTTTTTTTCCATTTATTTTAGAGTAAACAGGAATTGAAAGCTTCCCAGAAGATTTTGGCTCAAACAGAGCATTGGTGCTTTTAGGGGAAACCAACAGACCAGACATGGGGTTCGCTATATTCTTTTGGTGGTTGTTCCTGTCCTTCCATCTTATGGATCTCTGCCAGGGGCATTCCCTTACTATCTCAGTGTTTGTATCCTATGATTTCTTTCCCATCCTACCACCTGTAATGTTCAACTATGTTTCCAGGTATCTTCAATATCCCATCCTATTTATTTATACATTTAATTTTTCTTCAGTTCCTGCTGTGGGCAAGTCATAGGTTAGCCTTTCGGCAGTGTATTACCATCAAGTTTGTTCCTCTCAAACCAAATTTTATGTAGGATGAGATACAGATATAGATATATATATACCTCCATTGCACTATTAGTGTTTAAATGTAGACTTGAGAACCTATACAAACTACCCGAAACTTTGTCATTTAATGCTTTTTCCTAGATTTGCACATCTGGCAAGGACCTTAGAGAATAATTAGTTCAGATATAGAAATTGAAACCCTGAGAAATGAACTCTATGTTCCAGGTTCTAGAGTTAGTGAGTGAAATAACTCAGGTCAAAATGACTCAGCTTGTATCTATGGGGCTTCAGAAGATGGGTTTTGGCAATCAGATAATCTTGATCATAAGACTTTTGATTTATAGAATTTTTTATGCCTCCCTCAATAAGACAGATTTTTTACAATCTAATTTTTACTGCCTTCCAAGATCGTGAAAATATGGTACCATGTGAAATAATATGCTTAAACAGCAATCCTTTAAATATGCTTAGGAAATTGGCATTGTGAGATACAACTGGCTATGAGAATAGCTTTTGGATCAGTTGAAGAAAAACAGCCAAAAACAACAGGATGTTCGCTGCTCTTTAAAGATGTTGCTGCTGACAGTGGGTTTATCTCTGTGTATTAGCATGGCTGAAGTCATGGGTTGTGACCCAGGCCTGGGATCATGGGGACAAGTTGTGGAGCCACTTGTAGAACTGATCAGCCTGGACTTGTTCTGATCAGAGCCCAGTGACGTGTTTGCTCCGCACCAGCCATGCCCAGTACACCTCTGTGTTGACGATACCTGGTTTGGTTTTCTGTTGCTGCCATTCTTGACCATTTCACAGGGTAACCTGAGGTTCTTATAGGGAGGATGTCCATAAATAATTGTTGGAGGAATGAAAGCAGGCAGTGTACATTCTCCAACAATGTAAACTACTTGGCCACCCACAGAAAAATAATGAGAGTCATCAATCTCTTCACTTTTTGAGATAATCTCCTTTTTTGGTTTATCATATGCTCCTGTTTAGATGGGAAAGGAAGTTTACTACAGAAGAAACTTATGTAGGAAGTATCTACTGTTTATCAAGCAAACATTGGTTATTTCCTTTAATTTGGTTTCACTGGTTATTTCTTTTTAGTCTTCGACAATTTTGGTTGGTATTATCTGTGTTTTATAGACATGGAAAAAAGATTCAGAAAGGTTAAATAAGTTGTCCTAGGTCATGCAGCTAATAAATGGCAAAGCCAAATTTGGGAGCCAGTTCTCTCTGGCTCTTTCTCCACCCACATAAAGACATGTCCTTATGAGTCCGGCCACTTTTGGCATGCCCCATATCCTGGATTCTCCCTCTGCTCTCCCGTAACTAGATACTCAGGAAAAATGATATCATCCTTTCTAGCAGATCAGGCCTGAAAAGGACACTCCTTTTGCTCTAGTTAAGCATACCCAGTCCTAAATACTCCTTTCAAATCTACCTTTACATCTGGTAACCAGATAGCATATTGATTTCTTGGACTAGTTAACCAATTGGCTGTGGGCATTTTCTTTTCATTTTCTTGTGGGTCTGCTTTTTTCCAAAATTCTCCTTCTGGACCCCATATAAAGACTTCCTCTTTAGCTTTTTCAATTTGAATCCAAAGCCAAGGTAAAAAGAATTTCCTTCATACAATAGCATTTCAGTGACAGTGAGTTCTGGCTAATGTCAGCACTTTCCATTGCCTCAGGGACCACAGCTTCAGCTGGGACTTTATTTCTGGGGAGAGTTAGTGGATTGATCCAAAATTAGTGGTGTGACATGTTTAGTAATCTATTAGGCCTTGGATGGATTATTATTTTCTTGAGAAAATCTTTATTTCCTCCTCTCTCCCTAAACTAACTTTTATCAGGTTTTTTCTTAATACAGCTTTAATATGTAAAGTTTCCTAAGAATCTCTCTTATTTTCTTTATGATTGGTGGCTTTATTATAAATATTTCAAGTGTTGTGATCAGGGTTATTTTGTAGGAAGTGGCTGCCAATTATTTTGTCTTTCTCAAAAACTATGCATTGTTTTTCACTTAAAATATATTTTTTTCATTCAGTATTTCTGAAGTATTTCCTATGTGCTAGTTATGGTGCAGGCTACTTGTAATACAACAATGAATGAAACATGGACCCTGCCCTCAAGTGATAGGGAGGAGCAGACATGAAATGATAAATGACATTACAAGTAGTATAAGTGACTCAGGTGCTCTAGGAATATATAAGATTTACTAGCTGTGCCTAGGGGATCCACAGAAAGCCATTTTTAACAGCAAGAATGTAGTATGCAACATACAGTGTCATGACAGGATGTGATATTTTTTGAAATGGTAAGAAGTATGACTAAATATAGCGTGCATAGAATGGGGGAATAGAAGATAGGGTTATGGAGGTGGATTTGGGCCAGAATATAAAGAATTGACAAGTTTAAATTCATCTTGTAGCTAACAGACAGCCACTGGAAGTTTTTGAGCAGGGGAGCGATAGGATTATTATTATTTTTCTTTAACTTTTATCATAATTTAATCCAAAGCTTAGGATGACAGAATTACAATAAAGGGAATACAGTACAATATTACTAGCAATGACTGACTTAAAATCTTCTAGGAACCAAGCTGACATTAGTTTCTGTTGTTGGACCAATTCACTGCCTACCTCTATGTGACTGCTAAGTTTGTTTTTCTAAGAAAAGTATAATTCTCATGGCCTTGAAGAATGGACTACAATTGAGAGAGGCAAGTGCTAGGGAAATGACTAAGGTGGTAAGAGGTGTGCAGTGATAATATATACTTACCATATGACCCAGTAGTCCCACTCATAGGTATTTTCCCAGAAGAACCGAAACCATATGTTTATACGAATATCTGTATACAAATGTTTATAGCAGCTTTATTAATAATTGCCAAAAATTGGAAACAATCCAAATGTCCATCAACTGTTGAATGGGTAAATAAATTGTGGTATGTCCATATAATGGAATACTACTCAGCTAGAGAAAGGAACGAACTATATTATTGGTATGTATAACAACATAGATAAATCTCAAAAGCACAATGCTAAGTGAAAGAAGCCAGTTTCAAGAAACTACATATTACATTAATTTCATTTATTTGACTTTCTGGAAAAGGCAGGAAGCAGACAAAAATGAGATCAGTGGTTGCTGAGGGTGGGAGTGCGACTGGAGAGGGGCACAAGGGAATGTTTGTTAAAATTGTCCTATGTCTTGTGGTGGTGTTAGACAACTGCATATATTTGTCAAAACTCACCAAAATGTATACTTTAAAAGGGTGAATTTATTGTATGTAAATTAGACTTTGATAAATCTGCCTGAAAACAAAAAGCAATGATAGATGGATGAACCTCAGAAACATGGTAGATGAAAGAAACCAGACTCAAAAGAGTATATACCATATGATTCCATTTATGTGAAATTCTAGAATAAGCAAAACTAATCTGTGATGAAAGAAATAAGACTAGTCGTTGTCAGGGATGGGGGAAAGGGCAGGATACTTACTAGGAAGCAGCACAAGGAGTCCTTTTGGGGTGATGGAAACATTCTATGTGGGCTGACAGGCATGTGGGTTACATGGATATGTCCAATTATCAAGACTTGTCAAGTTGTACACTTAGATCTAACTATTTCATCATATGTAAATTATACCTCAAAAGGGAATAGAGAAGATTAAAGAGATTAAAGAGGAAGAAACTGGCTGGGCACAGTGGCTCACGCCTGTAATCCCAGCACTTTGGGAGGCCAAGGAGGGTGGATCACTTGAGGTCAGGAGTTTGAGACCAGCCTGGCCAACATGGTAAAACCCCATCTCTACTAAAAATACAAAAGTTAGCCAGGCATGGTGGCAGGTGCCTGTAATCCTAGCTACTTGGGAGGCTGAGGCAGGAGAATTGCTTGAACCTGGGAGGTGGAGATTGCAGCGAGCCGATATTACACCATTGCACTCTAGCCTGGGAGACAAGAGCAAAACTCCATCTCAGAAAAAAAAAAAAAAAAGAGAGAAAAAGAGACTAAAGAGAAAGATTAAAGACAAGAAAGAGAGATAGAGATTTGGTGATATCTTGTATTTGGGAGGTGGTAAGAGAGTGTTTCTAGTTTGGAGCCTGGTGGATGGGGTTACCATTCTCCAAGATGAAGAATAATAGCAAACCAAACAGTTTTGGGGAAAGAAAACAAGGGCTATTTTGTTGAGTGTTGAATACCTGTGGAATATCCTAGTGAAGATGTCCAAAAGGCAATTTGAATTATGGATTTGGTGTCCAGGAGACACTTGGCTAAAGATGTGATTTGAATATTATCATCATCATCATCATCGTCATATTAATTGTGGCCATGAGAATACCTGAGATTGCCTAAGGAGAAAACTAGAATTGAGAAGGAAGGAGACCTGAGAGTGTCACCCTGAGCAAACCTACCATTGAATATCTGGGTAGAAGAGAAGGAAGGAAAGGAGGAGTGGAAAGGGGAGAATCAGAAGAGAGCAGTGTCCTAGAACCCAAGGGAGAAGAAAGCTCCAGTAAGTCAGGGGTGGTCATCAGTTTCAGATGTTTGGGCTTAGCAATAAGGTAGTCTTTGGTGATCATATTGAGAACAGTCAGTTATTAGAGAGGGAGCAGAAGCAAATTCTTAGGGCTGGGAATAAATAGGTATTAAGAAGTTCAGACGTTAAGTGTAGATTGCTTTTTCAAGGAACCCTATTAAAGAGGTAGGAAGCTAAGTTTGCTTTGGTTTGGCTAGGGGCTGAAGGAAATATTTCTTACTAAGGAAAATTGTCCTGGGGAAATGTTCCATAAGGCATGCAATAGTCCTTTGAAAACACTTGCTCTTCTGTCATGATAAAGACAACACAGAAAGAGGAGCTCTCAGAACTGGAAAAGCCCAGCTAGCTTGCACCCATTCATGACAGGAAAGTTGGTGTATCTCATTGTGGATACTGAGTTTTTAAAATTCTCGTTACTGCTGCCAAAACACTCAATATTAAAAGATGAGGAAGTTGATTATGCTCAGCACAACCTACTCTTTACCTTTTAAAATCTTCAATGCCCATAGAAAATACCAAATACCAATAGTAAGTTTAAAAGGTTCTTTAAGGACTCTAGTTGCCTGCCAAGGACCCAAATTATTTTTCTTAAGCTGAATTGATTGTGTTCAAAGAGGAAAACCTGATACAGAAGCAATCTTTCCACCCCATTCCCCCCACCAATGCCAGCCTTTGAGGTGAGCTGGGTTTTGCACTATGTTATAATGCTGTCACATACCAATATATATTTCTTCTCCAACTCTTAAATGATAGTAGGTCCAAGCCTGGTATGTGTACAGATGTAGTTAGATTCAAGGCTGGATTTTTTTAGTTTGGGCACCCTCTCTGTAGAGGTTGTTTAGCAGTAACAAGATTTATTCATCCAAATGAAAATTAATTTAGCTTTGTGAAGGATGTTTTCTCTCTAGGTCATTTTCCCCCCTCATATTTCCCAGAATATTGGTTCTCAGCCTGTCAACTGAGATTCTTGGAATTTGCCTCTGGTTTGGGGAAATGGTTAAGTAAACCTGTAGCTGCTTAATGCAAGATACTTAAATAGTGGGTTTCATTGATTGTTAATCTGATTTGAATTTGTCTTCATTTGTAGCTGATTCTGTAAACCTGATCAATATGTGCATCAATTACTATTTTCACCCTGTTCTTCTTACTTTTAATAATATTACCACTTTATGAAACAGTTGAATCCTGTGCTTCAGCTTTTAAACAATGAAGAGAATATTCTTTTTCGTCAATCAAATGTTGTATTCTCTCTTGCTTATAAAATGTTTATGTAGACTTGTAGATTTTGCAAGTAGATTTTTCCTTTTAAATGCCTTATTTAGTGCTATATCACAGATGATTTTTTCTCAGGTTAAAGGGGCAATATTCTAAAAGATTACTGAAGATTAGATCAGCTATTGAGAAGAATGTATTAGCTGTTAAAAGCTATGAATTCATTGCGAAAAGAAGAGATGAAAGAGCTTCCTTTTCTTTACGTTTTAATGTATAGGCAATGTATAAATTTTGTATAGTTACTTGAAGGTGATCCCATCTCAAACTCTTGTATAGTTTGTGATGATTTTTGCAAATTAAATGGAATCCCATATAATTACTATGGAAGCCAACTCATTCATGGAAAATTTTCCCTAGAGGATTTAGAATATGAATGTCTGAGTTCATACTGCCATATATCTGTAAATAGCATCCAGATATTGACAGTGATTAATAAAGAGGCTAAAGGAAACCAAATGATGCCAAAGAAATCTCAGAGAGAGAAATGATTTCCCCAAGTTCCACAGTGTAGAATCATGGGGACAACTAAGGTCTCTAGATTCCCATTCTAGGATTCTTTTTTTTTTTCACCCAGGCTGGAGTGCAGTGGTGCGGTCTCAGCTCATTTCAACCTCCACCTTCCAGTTTCAAGCGATTCTCCTGCCTCAGCCTCCTGAGTAGCTGGGATTACAGGTGCCTGCCACCACGCCCAGCTAATTTTTGTATTTTTAGTAGAGACGGGGTTTCACCATGTTGGCCAGGGTGGTCTCAAACTCCTGACCTCGTGATCTGCCTGCCTCGGCCTCCCAAAGTGCTGGGATTACAGGCATGAGCCACCATACCCGGCCTCATTCTAGGATTCTTAATACATCATGTAACTTCAGACTCCCTGTGTTCTAGAAGAGAGTTTTGGCGGCCATCTTTTTAGAGTCTATTTTTTTGTTTTCTGAGAGTATTGAGAAATTTAAAAATCCTTCTTGAAGCAAGGAAATTTGTATCAGAATTAATTTCTGGAAAATACCTCGTTGTGTTCTGTGGGTGTGAGCTCTGGTCTGTGACCTCTGATCAAACAGTAAGGAAGGTAGTGTGGTAGTGTTTACTTCTAGAGAAAAAATATAAGCAGTTTTTTTGAGGGTCACAGGATGGGATGTTTAGGAGTGATGTTTTATATATATATAGATATAGCTATAAATATACACATACATACACACACACACACACACACACACACACACACACACACACACACACACAGGACTGTACATTACCGTGATTTTTGTAGAGGAAGTCTCAGTAATAATAAGAAGGGTTTCAAAGTTAACCTCTCATCCCTGAACTTGTTAAATGAAACCAGGCATTCTGGGAAGAACACTTGCTTCTGGGTCTTGCTTTCTCTTTGCAACAGTTGGGAAGGTAGAGAAAGAGAATCAATACAGAATCCATAAACTTGATCTCTGGCTCCTACCCTTCTTAAATAATATTAGTAGTGCAAAGATACCTTGTCACACCTGTGCTCTGCTACCACTGATTTCTCTTTCCTTGTCTGTCTTTTGGTTCATGTTGGGCTAGAGTGTTTTATTTTCTGTCTTCAAAGGGAAATTGAAACTGTAGGAGAGGGGAAAGAATAAATACATTTATATGTCTTCTTGACCTAAGTTGCAAAAGCAATATCTTGGTTTAAGAAAATGTGATGGAAGGATTCTAGAGAAATGCCTTCAGGAGATGTTTCTGTTTTCAAAGTTGGCAGGGAGGGATTGGGGAAGGGAAATTCAGAGAAGGCCTACAGCAGTGTTGGTGTTGGTTGTGCTTGTTTCATTCCTTTCCCCGCCTCTTTTTTTTTTTTTTTTTTACGCCCATAAGCACAGCAGAATCGTGCTTGTTAACTATTCTAGAGTCAGGTCGCTTTCTATGTAGGATTTAGGAACATCAATAGACACTGCATGATAAAAACAGTGGAATTTTATAGCATTGTTTTCTTATTCCTAGAACTTGATTAATTTCTCTTGAACTTGAAAGATTCTTGAAAGATTCTCTGCTTCTACTTCCACTTGCTACTTACACTCAGTGAGTTTCTAGGCCTGGGAGTTAATGAGATTGAGTCTTCTAGATCTTTGTGTAGTTGTGACATGGAAAATGATCTTGTGTATTGTGTTGTGTTGTATTTCTAGAACTCTATGGCTTTGACGTGCTCATAGATTCTACTCTGAAGCCATGGTTGTTGGAAGTGAATCTCTCTCCTTCTTTGGCCTGGTAAGTCAGTTCCATCAACTAAAAAAGGACAAATCTTCAAGTAGTACTTAAAGCACTTTTTTTTTTTTGATCATTTCTCTTGGCACTAGAAGACTGTTTTTTTCCTAGTTATTAGGTGGAGATAACCAGACTTTCTTAAATCAGCTGGTTTATGGCATAATATCAAAGTGCATATGACAACCATGGATCTCTGTCTTCCTAGTCAATTTACAATTATATCATTCCTGTTTATTAGGTTTCTAAGGGATGATTCTTGCATTCAGTTTTATCCCTGTAGTTTTTTTAATAGTAGGTCTTCTATTAAGGGTAAAGAAATACATAAGGTATTTCCTTCATTACCGAAAGTTTTACAGGTTCAAATCCACATACACTATAAAGGTATAAACCTGGATCTAGGGCCATGTGGATAATATGTGGTCCTTTTACCCTGTCTCATGTTTAAAGTCATCCAAGTTTAAAGTCAAAAACTTCAAACAACTTAAAAATCTTTTTTTTACTAACCTATTGTTTAGAAGAAAAGAAACATATTTTTCAATACCAGGGAAAATTCTTATTATATTTGCAGCTACAGCCAGAATTTCTGTTCGCTGTACACTTCTCTAAACTGAGAACTCTAGAGATTTATGCCAAAGACCACCCAGCTGCTGAGTTTTTAAGGATGAGAGATATTGGCAAAATGCCAAGGAATCAAATAAAGACAGATTGACTACTTTTGGAGTGGGAGTTTGGCTTAACCTCCATAGTAAGGTGTAGAGCTAGATATTACAGATGCTTCAGATGTTATGCAACTTTCGTCAAGTCAGCCTTTTGCAGGTTGCCCAGTAAAGTATATTATACTATACTTTAAAAGTGAGAAATCCCCAGAACGAGGCACTGAGTATAGCGGCCAGAGCAGTTTGGTTCATGGAGGAACACCTCAGCACTGAAGCCACCGTGGCCGTCACTGCCGCAGGGAGGCCTCTTGCTTTTGGTCGATGTTGTTTTTGTTTTCATGTGGGTTCCCGCCCATCTGGTGAGATTTTGGTATAACTTGTATTTTTTTTTTTCTTTTTTTGCCGTATTTGCAAGCCTGCAAGCCTAAGAAATTTGTTTTAGAGCAGACAATAAAGACTTTAAAAAGTACCAGTGTGGCCAGAGTTGCTTCTCTTGCGTGTGAATGTGACTTGACTGTTGCAGCAGCAAAAAGTAATTTGAATGGTGGTGGACATACTCATAAAAGAGCATACTGAAAATCTGAACCTCTAAAATCCACAGTTTTAATGAAGTGGTATTCTTGACTTGTGCAAATTTTGAATTGCACAAGACCTTCTGGTATAAAGAAAATTGCATGTTAGAGAATCAATGGATGGTGCTGCGTTTGCATTACAGAGGACGAATTTAACACCAGGATTTCATTTCTCATATTTTTGCCCAGGATTTTTCCCCCACCGCCCCCGTGGATTTTATGGGCTTTATGTGTTGCTCTTCATTGACATTTGGAAACTTTGCTATATTGGGACCCATCAGAGGGCGGCTATTCTGTTAACCTACACACTTATCAATTGCTCTTTTCTTTCTCTGTTCTGTTAGTGATGCGCCTCTGGACCTAAAGATTAAAGCCAGTATGATTTCAGATATGTTCACTGTTGTAGGTGAGTAGTAGTATTTTCTGAACTGGACTCACATAAAAATTAACCGGAGCGTCCATTTTATCAGACTCCATAGGTTTTGCCAACTGGCAGGTCCTAAGCCATGCTGAATGGTTTGTACTAAAAAATTATATTTTCAGGGAAATGTTTATATGTTTCTACGACACTTGGCTCCATCCTGTCCTGAGGCTGAACCACAACTAAGGCTGAGACCTGAGGCACAGGAATTAGGAGCTGAGGAAGAGAATTAGCAAAGATCTGGAGAAAGTGTATTTTTCTCCAAGCTGGGAAAGTAAAACCCACTGAAGAAGCCTTGTTGCAAAGGAGACTGGCTATATTTCTGCTAGACAGTCTCTACTGGTCTCAACGTGATCCCTTCTGTAGTAGTTATAACCAAAGCAGCCCAAAGAAGAAATCTCATTTTAAGTAGATAAGCCAAAACTTTGAAGTGGAGATGCGCAGTCAGGTGGGTATTTTGTGGGCTTGTTGGTTTTTTTTTAGGTACTATAAAAAGACATAATAAAATATATTTGAAATGAACTAGTACCTGATGTACCAGCGAATGCTATAAAACTTAGCTACTCTATTCTCCCTGGATGGGAATCTGCTTCTTTTTAGGAAGTAAGTGAAATTAGCTGAAGTCCAATTTCCAAAGCCATAGATAATCTACAAAGCCAATTTTGAAAGTTGCCAATAGACCACCTTCTGCAGTTCCAGAAGTAGATCATGTAACAGGATGAGACTGTTCACTTGCTTTTGTAAAAATAACTTTATTTTCCAGTCATCATCCAGGTAGCCACTTTAAAGTAACTTGTTTTTATTAACAACTGTGTGTTTTAAAATGGTAATTTGCGGTTACTCTTAAGTTCTTCAAAAATCTACATCTCTTTCTCACTCAGAATCACATTTCAGCTACCCAACCAGCAAGGTTAATTCATCTGGAGATTTCCCTTTTCTTCTCTCTAGTTATGGTGGTTCAGAGTTCAGAGGGTGTGTGTGGGAGAGTTGTGCATTATGCTCCTGAGGATAGATCTCTGTGATATTTATGACAGTGAAACTGAGTTTGTGTATCTAAAGAAAAGGTGCAGCCAGACCTGCTAATTTCTTAGAAAATGGCAGGTTTTAATGTTGCCCATTCCCCATTCAGGATTTGTGTGCCAAGATCCTGCCCAGCGGGCATCAACTCGGCCAATTTATCCCACCTTTGAGTCTTCCAGGCGAAACCCTTTCCAGAAACCTCAGGTAAGCCAATTCCACAGCAGGGAGCCTGAAGGAGGCTTACTGGGAAGTGGCGGCTGATGTAACTGTGGGAGCAGAAGCACTGTGGGTATGAGGTCACTTAGAGCAGGAGAATTTGGGGATCACTCTAGACAGGAGGCAGTTATATTCAGCTGTGGCTAATAGCTTATGCTTTCAACATTTTCCAAGAAACTTACTCCCTGTTTTTTGTTTTGTCTTTTCTCTTGGCTTTTTTTCATTATCTTCCTTCTTTCTGTTTTTAAAAATCACGTTTTTTCCGCCTCAGATTGATATGCTCAGAAACAAGGCACAGAAAAGGAGCCTATTAATTCTTAGTCATTACTGCATTCTTTCTGATCTTCAGACTAGCTTTGTAAAGAAGATGCTTTGTTGAAATAGTATCTTCTCTACAAGTAATTCTCCTCAAAGGACCCTCCATGATCATGAGTTATTGATTGAGGCTAAATGAGATAAAAGCCCAAAGAAACTTATACTTGTCTAAAATATCATTTGATCAAGCATTGCTTCGGTCTTTGTGTACTCTGCATTTTTGTTCCAGTTAAACCAATCAGCTGATCCTTCTATTTACTCATTCCATCATCTTGTCAGTCCCTGTCTGTTTTGACCCTGCTAATTTTCCACTTTTGTTTCTTGGCCTTTAACATTTCTTCTTATTTAAAAAAAAATCCACTTTGCTCTTCTCTTCCCATCTGGTTTGATTGCTTTGCCTGCTCAGACATTTTGGAAGTCTTTTCTTATTAAATCCATCGTCACCTTTACTTTTCATTTTAACATTTATTTACTTGTTCTATATTACATTGTTTTGCATTCATTGATTTGTTGCTTTTAAATTGTTCTGTACTCTCCTGCCAGATTGTAGGCTCTTTGAAGGCATAAGCAGCTTTTTCTTCCTACTCCCCATTTTCTCTTTCCTTTTCTTCTCTCCTTTTATCCCTGCCCCAACTCCACTTTAACCCTTTACTCCTCACTTTTTTCCTCCCTTCTTCCACTCCCATTCCTGCTCTTGTTCCTTTTGCTTGCTAGTCTCATTTGGAGTAGTGCTATTTTCTGTTTGCGAAATCCATATACTATTATTTATTCAGATAATTTTTTATTAGAACAGGGTTTTCAAACTCAAATGCTTAGAGGGCCTGCAGGCAGGTAATATAAATGAGTAAATAGAGGCAGGCATAAAACAGCCAAGAGTGATATGACTGAGGTAAACTGGAGAGTGCATACCTCATCTGAAAGGGATGGCTGTTTTACTAATGTGCTCTAGCTAATTACTATCAGGCATAAGTGTGGGCCAGGTGTTATGAGATCTTGCTATTGTCAAGAGAAATCAGAAATCTTACTTTTAAGTATTGGCAGCCACTTCATTAGAAACAATACTTTGCAGGCCAAGCATAACATGTCTTTGAGCTAGATTCAGTCTATGCCTATCTATGACCCCGTGCTGCAGAATTATTCCCTAATTAATGTTGGGATGTGGAACAGGGTGTACTGTATTTTAAAGGCTATTATCTTGGATTAAATATAAAATCAGTTACCAGGGTTGTACTTGATCAGTGCATCATCAGAGATCAAAGGGTTTTCTTTAATTTTTAGTAAGAAAAAGTAGAGGATTAACCTAGGTGTACTAGAAAAACTTAATTTAGGCAGTCACATTCCTTTGCAAATTGTTTCCTGCAGTATCTGTGGCAAGAACCACAGAATTATGTATAAAGGATCATGAACATTTCTGTGCAGCTTTAACACAGTTTCTGCCAAGTTTCACTTCTAGAGGTAGCTGTATTGCCAGTCTTAAATGAATTGGTCCCTTTTCTTAGTTTGCCTGTCAGCTTTATTGGCAACTCTTTGCAAACTCTAGAAAATCTGTTCAATGCTTGTTTTGCCAACTGGTAGGTAATGGCATGATTACATCCATAAGCAGCCTACAGGACACTTACATAAAGGCTAAAGGAACTGTAGATTGGTCATGTGTACTGT
Source organism: Homo sapiens (assembly GCF_000001405.40). Taxonomy (NCBI): domain Eukaryota; kingdom Metazoa; phylum Chordata; class Mammalia; order Primates; family Hominidae; genus Homo; species Homo sapiens. Next base: position 75,737,276 of record NC_000014.9, read on the forward strand.
GTGAAACCAGTTTGTCAGGTGGACTAGTTGACTTCAGGATCTTCAGTATCTGGCAGTAGGATTGTGCCCTCAGTGGTGAGAAGTTGAAGCTGGAATATATATGGCATAGGAGAAAGCAGTGTGAAAGAAAATAAATGTTCTAACCTTCCAACCACAAAGTGTAGGGCTCTTGCTTTTGGTTTCTGCTTGGAGATTATTTTTTCCTTTTTTATATCATAGATCTAGGAGATGGAAAATGTAGGCATATTAGGAGAAGATAAGGGTTTATTCCATTTTTCTGTCTTTTATAGCGTCCAGTATCTGCACAGTTTCAGTCGTCAAAGGCCAAGCAGGTAAGTTCTAGATCTTTTGGAGACTTCTTCAAATTTTATTTTCATTCTCCAAATGGAAAGTTTTTTAGCTTTAGTTTTTCATGGTACATATTTTTATGTACCTATTTTTTTGCGCAGTTTAATAACAAAGTGAATGAAAATGAATGCATAGAAGTCTTTTTGGTTATAGGATATAAGAGTAGAGGATGCAGGAACTTAGGGATCCTCTTTTCCTGATAGTGATTATACTGAGATGGAGACAGTTGAATTTAAATGAGGAACAGGGGCTTGAAGGCATATCTATCACTTTGACCAAAATAATCCAGGAAGGAAATTTTCCAGTTCACAAATGAACTTCAATTTTTTTTTTCAGACATCTTATGAAACATACTGTTGTCTATAGCTTAATATTGGAAATGTTTTCACATTGGGTGTAGGGTTGTATTTGAGTTCCTTAACAGGTGACATTTCAAATATGTAGTGATCTGCAGTTTATAAATCTTAGAAGCTCTGCCACAATAGTGTCTCAGATGCTACCTTTGAAATACAAACATCTTTCTTTCTGAATGATCAGCATTTGCTTTCTTACTGTTTTTGTTAGCAGTATTTGAGATTAACCATTGCTTTCTTCTGCACAGATTTAAAAAATTCTTTTTGAAGTAATAGGCTAGCAGTGGGGGTCCTGTGCCTGCTATTTGATGCTTTAGTATGAGGGATATAGATATTCTCATATATAAACGTGTCACTGCAACTGTTGTTTAGCAAAAAGCTCCAGTATATTTATTTTGGCGTTTGTACTCTCTGATGCAATTTCTGGTAAGCTTGAATGCTTGACATGTAACTTTTCTTAGCTACTGTTTCTGATAAAGTGATTTATATGGTTTATGTGAATCCAAGAAATGAAAAATAACTTACTGGATGCCTTGTCTAATATTTAGTAACTGATTAATGTGGCTCTGTAGTATGAGTTTTGGTGCTTAGTTGGTGGAATTCGAAACTCTATAATATGTAGTATTTTATATTTAGTAAATACCTAAGTATGCTAGTTGCTCCCATGGCAGAAAACAAAACAAAATAATGCTGTTGACTTCAAAGAGCTTATATTCTAAATATACCTGGAACTAATGTACTGAAAGGAGTACGTTAGGAAAGGGGTACTCTTTCATAGCCTGTGGCATTTGACTGTAAAGAAGTGTCTTTGATAGGTAATTCTAATTTATTTTTACTTACTTATTTGAGACAGCGTGTCACTCCATCACCCAGGCTGGAGTGCAGTGACGCGATCACAGCTCACTACAGCCTGGACTTCCTGGGCTCAGGTGATCCTCCCACCTTGGCCTCCTGATTAGCTGGGACTACAGGTGCACACCACCATGCCTGGCTAATTTTTTGTATTTTTGGTAGAGATGAGGGTTTTGACCTGTTACCCAGGTTGGTCTGGAACTCCTGAGCTCAAGCGATCTGCCTGCCTCGGCCCTCCCAAAGTGCTGGGATTGCAGGCATGAGCCACCATGCCCGGCCTTTGATATGTAATTCTAATCTTAATTTCTCATTATCAATTTTAATTCCATTACATCTAGTTGCATTGCTTGAATTACCGTAGGTTGTAATAGGCTTGTTGGAGAGCAAGACCTCTCTTTAGTAGTAATGTATCTGAATACTTGCTTACGTGACATAAAGCCTTTCTGGCTTTATTCAGCCAGCTTTATACATGTTGAATTCTTTGACTTTTATTGTACTTTGCAATGTTCTATTTTGTCATTGTCTTTCTGTTAACGAAGCACTCTTAACTTCACAGTATTTTCATTGGAGCTAAGTAAAAAAAAAAATTTCTTTGTTCTGACCAGTTAGACTGTGTCAAGCTTTCTTTTTCTGTTGCTGTCAGATTGTGAATTCTCTTAGTCCTTTGCCCTTTTTCTGCCTTTTCCTTTTTAAACCATTATCTCTATATTTCTCCTTTCTCTTTAATGTCTATGGTTCAAATTTTCCACTCACCAGAAATTGTATGGCATGGTACTGTGGAAAGAATATGGACTTTTACAGTCCGATAGACCTGGATTCAAATTTGAGCTCTGCCAAAAACTAGCAATTAGACCTTTGGGCAAGTTCTCTTACCTCTCTGAGGCTCAATTCCCACATCTGTCATATGGGGATAATAATATATACATGAAGTTACAGTGAGGAAGAAATGATAAAATGGAGGTAAAATATTCAGGATAAGTGCTAGACATGTAGTTTACACTAAGAAGATTTACTCCCCTTCACACTTTTGAGTCTTTTGATTTTCCCATTGTCAAGATCTCTTGTTATTTTGATATTCACCTGTTTGTAGTCATGTTTTTCACATTTGCCATCATCCACAAATGCTATTTTGTTTTTCCTTCCAGATGTTAATGAAGATTCTAAATAATGCTTAGTTAATACCCATTCCAGAAATCACTTTCTAACTTGATTCACTGCTATTTATCTTGCAGTTACACTGTTTTCAGTGTTTGTTGATGTGTTATATTCTGGCACTAACCCCTAACTGGAAATATAATTTAGAATAAAAATTTTGTGAAATTTTCTCAAATGCTTCTCTAAAATCCAAAGACATTTAATATATTGCTATAGTTCCCCTTTTAAAAATCTTGTCCTAAAAATGAAACTTTTAAAGCATGTTTTAAAATAAAGCATTCTTCATACTATTCTTCATAAGCCCATTATCCTCTAAGTTATTAGGGATTTTTTCCTTTTAATATTTGTTCCATTATTTTACTAGGGATTCGAGTTAGGTTTACCAGGCAGTAACCACCAGGAGCATACTTCTTACATTTTTGAAGATTAGTACCTCATTTGGTTTTTTTCTAAACTGGTACCTCCTCAGTTCTTCATGATTTTTCAAACATAATTATAAGTGGTTTGGGTAAGTTTTGTTTGTTTTTAAAGCCAATTTCCTTAATAACAGGATGCATGTCTCTCAGACCTGCTGGCTTACATTTATTCCAAATTTCTAGATGCTGTTACACAAGCCTACTTGCTTTCTCCCCTCCACCTGCCAATTTCAAAGTATACCCTGATTATCAGTATGTTTAAACCTTCTCTTAGAAGCCATTTTTTTGGTCCATTTCCATTCAGATTTATTGATAATGTGGTCTTTTCCATTTGTTTTCTTTCATTTGATAGCATTCATTTTACTTTTAAACTTGATTTTACCTGTTGTTTTTTAGATGGTAAAATGTATCACATATAAATTGAGCTATTTCTAGTTCCTTTGCTTTTAATGAAGAATTCCAAACTTTGTAAAACTGCATTGGGAGATTTTTATTCTTTGCATGTGTTCTCTGTCAAGCAAATTTTGTTTTTGCCCCTCAATTATGACATAGTCTTAGGATATCTTGCCATTTTTCCCCATTCCACATTTTGTTAAGTTCTTCTCATCATTGGTACTTGCCAGCTTTTTAAAGGCTGAGAGTCATTTTCTGATTCAACATCTGTTTCTTACTACTTTGATTGAGTGGAGACTGGTGGTTCCTTGTCTCAATAATTTCACACTTTCAGCCAGTTGTTCCTTAGCAATGATGGTTAGATATGTAAGGTTTCTTCTCTGGGAAGATTTCTGAATCGTAAGTTGTACTATTGATAAATTCATCTTTATCCTTGGTGCATGTTGCATGGCAGAATTCTTGACAGTAATTTGACAGTTTATAATTTATCTGAGCACTGGATATCTAAATCATGTATCTTTTAGCCAGAGGCAATGGTTCTCCTCTCTAAGTTCAGAGGACCTTACTTCCTTAGTGCATTCAGTCAACTCATGGGAATATGTGGATTTATTATATCTACCACCCAGAGAATGTAGTTGATGTGCCCAAAGGCAAAGCTGCAGAATGACTTGCGTTTGGACTGTTTTGCCCTTGTTTTTGATAGTCTTGGTGGCCTTTCAAATCAGTCTGATTCCTTTTTTTTTTTTTTTAACTTTGCTTTGTTTTTAATCTCCAAGTGTGTCTCCTTGACACTCATAAGCATTTATTTTCTTTTTTTCTGTCCATCTTATCCTTTCTTCTTCCCTTCTCTCTTTCTCTACCTTTTCTTTCACCTGTGTCTATAACTCAGGTCACAGAATTAGAGACCTTTCTCAGAGCTCTTAAATACCCCAACTAGAAGCACAGACCTGAATTCCTACATGCCTCTACCCGACCCCAAACATTCACAAATAATGTACACAGTAGCTAGACCTAGAATTGTAGGCTGTAACAAAGGAGTGGTTGTGAATGTATATGGGAGACAAGTCTTTGAAAGTGATTGGCAGAGAAGTTTTAAGAGTTTTGGGGTGCTAATTCATTGGTTACAGAAACCACATTAGGTTAGTAGGAGAAGGTTGCCACATCATTATCTCAATTTCTAGAAGCCAGGAATATTAAAAAAACCATTAAAAACAATACCCAGGAATTGGAAGTTCTCATTAGATGTCATTCAATAGTGATTTGACCCCTGTTCTTTTAAATACAGCCATGCATTCCTTAATCTGTTTAATAGTTAATAACTTTTTCTTTAAGTACTTTTAATTGACCTTTGATATAGCTTTTAGTTTATCAACCTTCTAAGTAACATTCTTTCTGTTCTTAAATGCTTAATAAAGATACCTATTTTTATTATATCATTTAAATGAATGTTTGTTTCTTACTCTCTCTTTACGTAATTTGAGATTTGAGGCTGTTTCTTACTCTCTCTTTACGTAATTTGAGATTTGAGGCCCTTAAATAGTGTCATGTAAGAAAGCTACTTAACTGTAGAGGACTGACTGCCAGTGGCTTTATTGTTTTGTTTTGTTTTGTTTTGTTTTTGAGACAGAGTTTTGCTCTTGTCACCCAGGCTGGAGTGCAATGGGGCAATCTTGGCTCAGTGCAACTTCCGCTTCCAGGGTCCAAGCGATTCTCTTGCCTCAGCCTCTCACGTAGCTGAGACCACAGGCATGTGCCACCAAGCCCAGCTAATTTTGTATTTTGAATAGAGACAAGGTTTCACCATGTTGGCCATGGTTGGTCTCGAACTCCTGACCTCAGGTGATCCACCCGCCTTGGCCTCCCAAAGTGCTGGGATTACAGGTGTGAGCCACCACACCAGGCTTTGCCAGTGGCTTTATGATCAGAGACATGCTGTGATGGGTGAACTAGGTAAGTATTTTTTGGCAAACAATAAGTAGTGTGTGATCATGAGAAAAGTCATCAAACTATCCATTTAATATTTTTGACTTTTTCCAAATTATACATTAAATAAGTGTTCACACTTTTTAAAGATTTATAAACAATGGTTATATTATTTATATTTGTTTCCTTCCTAAATCTTTCAACTTTCCCCTATAAACCCTCTCATTTTAACATCTACTGTTTAATTTATTCCCAGAGATTGAGGAAGTAAAAATATTTCCCAAAATCCTTCTGCAAAGTTTACTTCTAGCCATGATTGATGTCAGCACTTTCACGTATTTGTTTGTTCAACCAATATTTCTTGATTGACTTCATGCCAAGTACAGTGTATTGTTCTGGATGTTGAAGATACCACAGTAAAAGCCCCTGCACTTCACATGTTGCTTACATCTGTTGATTTCATCGTTTTCTTGATATAGATATCCATCATGGAGTTGCCAATCAGAAAATTTAGCTTTTATAACTCCCATGCTAGCTTTGGAGATTGGTTAGTTGGTCTCTCTTGTGTCCAAAGATAAAACCATCCATGGTTGGTTATTTGTGTACATGAATATATTAGTCTGTTCAGGCTGTCATAACAAAATGCCATAGGCTGGGTGGCTTAAACAACAGAAATTTATTTCTCACAGTCTGAAGGCTGAGAAGTCCGAGGTGCCGGCAAGATAGGCTTCATTCTAAGTCTTTTTTCTGTTGGCTTATAGGTCTCCATTTTGTTGTATGCTCACATGACCTCTTCTTTGTACACATACTAGCTGGGGTCTGGGGGAGAGAGAGTGAGATCAAACTCTCTGGCATCGCTCTTTTTTTTTTTTTTTTTTTTTTTTGAGACGGAGTTTTGCTCTGTTGCCCAGGCTGGAGTGCAGTGGCGTGATCTCAGCTCACTGCATGCTCCGCCTCCTGGGTTCACGCCATTCTCCTGCCTCAGCCTCCCGAGTAGCTGGGACTACAGGTGCCCGCCACCACGCCCAGCTAATTTTTTGTATTTTTAGTAGAGATGGGGTTTCACCGTGTTAGCCAGGATGGTCTCAATCTCCTGACCTTGTGATCTGCCCACCTTGGCCTCCCAAAGTGCTGGGATTACAGGCATGAGCCACCGTGCCCAGCCACCATCTCTTCTTATAAGGACACTAATCCCATTACACCAGGGCCCCACTCTCATGACTTCATCTGACTTTAATTACCTTCCAAAAGTCCCATCTCCAAATGCTGTCACATTGGAGGTTAGGACTTCAACATGAGAATTTTTGAGAGAAACCAACATTCAGTCCATAACAACGGGTGTTGCTAAAAAGGCCAAAAGTTAGTTACCACAATGCCTTTGAATAGATATTCTACAAATAGAGAGAGAGAAATAATACCTCGTGACAATGGGGCTGCTGCTCTCTGGTTGAAGTTACTTCTAAGAATCAAGAGGACAATTTGCACCCATGTGGGTGAATTCTTTCTTACTTTTTGTACTTGGCAGATTTGTCTTATTTTTGTCTGTCACTTCATCTATTTCAATAATAGTGTATTATTATGCTTTTATACTGACTTCCTTTTTTACCTTCCTATTTCTCCACTCGCATAAAATCAAAATCACTTAAAACTTGTGTTTTCAGATGACCTCCCTCATCATCATGTAGAAGCTGAAATAGCCAAGATCCTCTTCTGGGATCAGTGATGGACAGGGCCCATTTGGCTGCCTTCTTGGAGTACCCAGGGTAGTCACGTTTGTGCCAGGCCTCTTGAAGTCCAGCAACCACAGTGATAGCCTTTTGGCCACAGCTCTTTTCTGTGTTACTGATGTCTCTCATCTCAATATTTCCCCCTCAAATTGTAAAACATTTCACAGCCCAACTTTTTCATTTGTGATATAATAGATTGTTCCTTGGTTTTGTGTCTTATGTCTCAATTCTCTTAATTGTTCATCTCCTGTGCTAAAAATATACCCACTGAAATAAATACACATTTATTTTTCTATTGAGGGCATCTTCAGATTTTTCCATATCCTTGAAATATTGGATGTGCTCTAAAACCAAGGTTTGGGTTAAATACTAGCTTAGAAAGTCACGTGGACCTCATTCTTTCTTTCTTCTCTTTTCTCTCTCAACCCATAGTGTTCTTTTACTGTTCTGTTTTCTCCTCTTGCCTTTGAGTTTATTAGCTTTCGTCTGTTTTCCAGGGTTCCAGGCTGAGATTAATTACAGAAAGTGGGCTATGAATTTGAGCTTATAAATCTTTAGAAAAATAATGATGTTGAGGGAATGAACAGAGGGTAATGAGGAGTAATGAAAACTTAAAAAATTTTTTTTACTATTTTCATTTTCTTCTCCTTAGCGTTGCCGTCCACTCTCTGCCAGTGATGCGGAAATGAAAAACCTCGTGGGCTCAGCCCGGGAGAAAGGGCCAGGGAAGTTGGGTGGTTCTGTGCTTGGTCTGTCAATGGAGGAGGTAAAGATAAGTTCATTTTAGGCTTTTGTGGGTTAACACAGGGTTTAGTGAAAATTAGTGAGTGATTGATAATATTCATGACAAACTCATGTCTTACATTGAAAAGAGAAAGATTCAAGATTGGAGAAATGTTTTCTCAGGGAAGAACATTTTAAATGGAATTAATTTCTCCCTTCATGCTACTTTCATATTCTTGGGTCATAACTATCTTCCTTTGTCCTATAGCCACATGGACTCCGGTTTTCAAAATAGGTACTCATTTTATCTTATTTTTCATCTAGATCAAAGTTTTACGAAGGGTGAAGGAGGAGAATGATCGGCGAGGTGGATTTATTCGCATATTTCCTACATCTGAGACATGGGAAATATATGGGTGAGGTGACTACCTTTTTTTTTTATTCTTTACCTGAGGTCCATAGAATTAGATTAATTGTGATACACTGTCATCACTGCTCCCCCCGATGATGCTTTTCTTATTTTGTTTATTTATAATATGATAAATATTATCCAACCCGAGAACTAGATTATTGACAGTAATTTAATATACCTGTGTATTATTTCTCCCTTTTAATCCTCTGCCTCCCTCCTAACTAGCTTCCTATCCCAGGGTTAGGGACTGTCCTAAACTTTGTGTTTATCATTACCTTGATTTGAAAAAAAAAATTGTTTATCTATATGTGTATCTAAGCAATATATTGTTTTATTGAGATCTAGTTTATATGCAGTAAAATGCATCTATTTTAAATGTACAGTTTGAAGATGATTTTTGGCAACAATAGGCACCAGTTTAACCACTGCTACTGCCACAATGAAGATATAAAATATTTCCATCACCCTCGTAGCCCTCTTTATCCCCTTTTATATTCAATCCTCCACATGACCCTGGGCTTCAGACATTATGACCTGCCTTCTGACATTACAGTTTTTCTACAGTTCCACATAAATGGAATCATACAGTATGTACTCTTTTGTATCTGGACTCTTTTGTTCAGCGTAGTGTTTTTCATATTCATATGTGTTGGTTTATGAAGAATAGTTCATTATTATTATTATATACTATGTCATTGTTTGAATATACCAGAATTTGTTGAATATACCAGAATATACCACTCATCTTTTGTAGACATTTGGGTTGTGTTCAGTTATGGTCTCTTTTGAAGAAAGCCGCTGTGACCATTCATGTACAATTCCCAGCACCTTTAAAATGTCTTTTCGTCATTTTCAGGCTTGCGTTTTTCTGATGAGAAGCATACAGCAATTATTGTCTTTGTTCTTCTATGCATAATGTCTTTTTTTCCCAGCTTGCTTTTAGGATTATCTCTTTATAACTGATTTCCTCTTTTCTTTTCTTTTTTTTTTTTTTTTGGAGACAGTGTCTCACTTTGTTGCCCAGACTGGAATGCAGTGGCACAATCTTGGCTTACTGCAACCTTGGCTTCCTGGGCTCCACTTCAAGCTATCCTGCCACCTCAGCCTGCCAGGTAGCTAGGACTACAGGTACATGCCACTGTGCATGACTCATTTTTGTATTTTTTTGTAGAGATGGGGTCTCCCCATGTTGCCCAAGCTGATCTTGAACTCCTGGGCTCAAGTGATCCATCTGCCTTGGCCTCCCAAAGTGCTGAGATTATAGGCGTGAGACACCGTGCTTGGTCACAGCTGATTTTCAGCAGTTTGATTATGATGTGCCTTGGTGTCATTTTCTTCATGTTTCTTGTGCTCGGGATTCATTGAGCTTCTTCATCTATGGGCTTATAGTTTTATTCAAATTTGGAAACCTTTTGGCCTTTATTTCTTCAAATATTTTTTTCTAATTTTCTCCTTTCCTGTCTTCTTTTGGGACTCTGGTTACATGTTAACTTAGTTTATATTTTACCACAAATCTGGCTGTGCTCATGTTTTTTCAGACTTTTTTTTTCTTGCTTTCCTTAATTTGGGATGGTTTTGTATTTCTGTGTGTCTCTAAGGTCATTCATCATTTTGTCTGCAGTGCCTAGTCCTCTATTAATTCTACCCAGTGAAATTTTCATTTCAGATATTTTATTTTTCATCAGTTTTTGTGTGTCCTTTTTCTCTTTTTCATTATGTTCATGATTTCCTTTACATTTTTGTTTACATGTTATAATATTTGTAATAAATGTTTTAAAATACCTTTTTCTGTTATCTGTCATTTTGGGGTCTGTTTCTATTGACTGGTTTTCCTCATGTTTATGGGTCACATTTTTGTTTCTTCACATGTACAGTAATTTTTTTAATTGAATGCTAGACATTGCAGATGTTATATTGTTGAGTGTTTGGATTTTATTGCCTTCTTTAAACCCTTTTGAATTTTTTTTTTTTTGGTCAGGCACTTAAGTTACTTGTAGATCAGCTTATCTTTTTCAGGCTTATTTTTAAGCATTGTTATGGTTTGTTTATAGTAGCTTTTTGTCTAGATCCAGGTTAGTTCCTCCACTAAAGAGTCTTTTGAGGTGTCTGTTAAATTACCTCCACGTTCAATGAGATCTTTTCATTCTGTCTGGTGGGAACTCAATTTGCAACCTCATGTGAGCTCTGGGAATTATTCAGCTTACACCTTACCTTCTCCTTAATTTGTTCTTTATCCTGATAGTTGCACTTTGCTCAGCCTTGTGGACTTTCACCCTATACCTAAGCAGATTTGTATTCACCCAAACATTCAAGGGGTCCCTCATGATGATTTTTGAATATCTTCTTCTGCACAACTTCTTCTCCAGGACATTGCTCTGAAAATTCTAGCTACTCCCTAGAAATTAGATTTCTCTTGTCTCTTTTCAGAGACAGTTGGGCTCTATTTGCATTTCCTCTCTGTCTGTGTAGTCTGGAAATTGCCTTTAGGCAGAAATGTAGGGCAGTTGTACTTCGTGTATTTCCCTCTGTCAGAGATCACAGTCCTGTGCTGCCAGTTGTTTAATGTCTGAAAACAGTTATTTCAAATAACTTGTAAACTTTTCTAGCTGTTTATGGTAGGAGAGCGTGTCCTGTAACAGTTATCCTCTCATGTATAGAAGCAGAATTCTATTGTTTTGTTTGAATCACTTTTAAACTTTTTCTTAAAAAAAAAAAAAAAAAAGACATGTTCTATGTATTTTTGCTTTTTTCATTCAGCATTTTGTAATTCAGGTTCATGTTACATATAGTTACAGTACAGTTTTTTCAATGCTTTTGTATTTACTGTGTGTTTATATTGCTGTTAATTTTTCTGTTCTCCTGTTGTTAAGTATTTGACTTCTTTCTGGTCTTTTGCTGTTAAGGACAGCTGTGGTGCAGATATTCTTGTATGTGTCTGCTGGGCATGTATCTAGGAGTGGAATTACTGGGCCTTAAAATATGTGAGCCAGTAAATGGCCTGGTGCCACTCATTTCAGATCCGTTGCTGAAGTTTTTGTATAGGCTCAGTGCCTTAAGACATGTGAATGTTAAGCTTTAAAAGGTAATGCTTTAGGAAAAAAGATAAAGCTAAATTGTTTTCCAAAGTGGCTATGTAAACTATCAGCAATGCATAAGAGAGTCTGTTGATCTGTATCTTCTCCAATTGCAGTACTGTCAGACTTCTTAATTTTTGTCAATCTAATGGGAGTAAAATATCTTATTTTGGTCTTGATTTGCATTTCTGTGATTTCTAGTAAGGTTGACACTCTTTGTACTTGTTTATAGGCAACACACTTTCTTCCTCTGGTGACTGCATTTTGACCTAGTTGGGATGTTCGTGGTTCTAAGTATAGAGGTAGAACTTAGAGAAATAAAAGAAAAAGCCATTTTTAAAAATTTGCCTGCTTGTTTTGAAAACCTAGCTGTTCATAGAGAAATCGTCCTTTTATCTTTTAAAATATGCTATTCATGTAGTTATACCTTATGAAGACCTAGGAGTTCAACAGAAAAATATTACATGGGTTTTCTTGAAAATTATATATATATGTATATCTTTTGAAATGTTTTTTAAAGAATTTGAATTTTTGCATTTCCTAGAAAGTGTATCTTTTAATTAATGAAAGGGGGACCATTTACTTTTGAGTATTTCAAGATATAGGACCTTACTTTGAGTATCTTTTTCTATGGAATCAATTACAAATAATCTTGAGGTCTCTTAAGGAAGTCCAACAATGATACCTTTCTTTACTAGGTTGGTTTTGAACTAGTTGAGAAATAAAACAAGGACTAAAATAGATAGAAACCAAAATACTGTATTTTTTACTGATAAAGTCTAGGTTGGGGGAATTGATTGTAACTGTCTACAAGCAAATGCACTTCCTGTTGAGCTTCAGAATTGGACGGACTTATATTCCTATTGTAAGCAAGGTTGGTCTGAGCCATGTATGGGGAGTGCTGACCCTATAGGAGCAGTAGAGGATATGTATTTCCTAAGTGGGGATTAGCTCCCAGGAGAAAAAAGAGAGGTGCTCAGTGCATCATTTTCTGTTTATTTTTCCTAAATTACCAATCACATTGGTAAGTTACTCTAACTCTCTTGGTGCGTTCTGAGAAAAGAGGCTCAATTAATATTAATTGAACTGCCTTTACATAGAATGTGGGAGGTATGTTTATCTACTAACAAATATGCTATTTTATTAGTACACATATATTATCAACAAATGTCTACATTATGCTTGGTTCTTTGGTGTATAAAATAAATATTAGGTGGGCTCCCTGTCAGTTGAGAGTTAACAGTATGTTTATGGAAAATTATTTACACATATAATAAGAATAGCTTTATTACTTTATTCCTAATAATAATCTTAATAATAAGAATAGCTCATATTTGTATAGCTTTTTGTAATTTTAATGTACTTTGTATACTTCATTGTTTCACTCACATTTTAATGACAGGGATTCTAAGGCTCAGTAAAACAATGTGACTTGTCCGTAACCACACAGTGAGACTTGGGTCAGATATTCTGATCTAGATCTACTTTTTTCCTGCTGCATCATACAGCTTTCCTAGAACAAAAAGTTTGCTCTGTAGGCACAGGTTATGAGAGGTCCTTAGGCATACAGTAAAGACACGTTAGGGCATATCAGGGAAGGCTTTGTACAGCAGGGTGGACTTGACCTGCTTTTTGAAGGGTGTAGTACAGTAGAAAACTGCTTATCAGCAGAGGATTATCAGCGGAGGATACCTTCCAAGAGCCCCTGTGGATGCCTGAAACTGTGGACAGTACCAAACAGTTGACCCTTAAGCAACATGGATTTGAAGTAAAATTATACATGGATTCTCTTCTACCTCTGCCACCCCGAGACAGCAACTAGATCTTCTTCCTCCTCCTTATGATTTTCTTAATACATTTTATTTTCTCTAGCTTACTTTATTGTAAGAATACAGTATGTAATACATATAACATGCAAAATACGTGTTAATCCACTTTTTGTGTTATTGATAAGGCTTCTGGTAAACAGTAGGCTATTAGTAATTAACTTTTTTGGGGAAGCAAAAGTTATATGCGGATTTTTGACTCTGTGGCAGGGCCAGTGCCCCTAAACCCCACATTGTTCAAGGGTCAACTATATATACTATGTTTTTTACTATATATGTACCCATGATAAAGTTAAATTTATTAATTAGGCACAGTAAGATATTAATAGTAACTAATAATAAAATAGAGCAGTTAAAACAATATTCTGTAATACAAGTTATGTGAATGTGGCCTCTCAAATATCTTATTGTTCTGTACTTACCCTTCCTTTTGTGATGATATGAGATGGTACAGTGAGATGAGATGAAGTGAGGTGAACGCCATAGGCATTGTGACGTGGTGTTAGGCTACTGTTGACCTTTTGTATTCCTGAATGTGTGTAACCATCCCTTATTTGCAGTAAATGGCTTGGTGTCACTCATTTCAGATCCCTTGCTGAAGTCTTTGTATGGGCTCAGTGCTTTCTGGTGTGACACACTGCTGTCACTTGCTCACGTCTTCCACCCCAAAATGTAATGTCTTTTCCACCTGAGCACTTATCATGCACTGTGGCCATCACTTTTGCAATCTGAGGTGTGACAGCAAAACTAGCATGAATTTCTTTCTTCTTCACGATGTCATGGATAGAAAATTTGTTCTTATTTTAGCAGCTCCAGCATGTGATTTCTTTTTCCTTAAGTCAAGAACTTTTACCGTTTCACCGAAAGGAAGCACTTTACAGTTCTCTTTGGCATATGCAGATTGCCAGCCTCACTACTCTTATCTTTTGGGGCCATTATTAAGTAGAATAAGGATTCTTTGAACACAAACACTGCTAAGTGATTCATGGGCCTGGAGTGTCTACAGTGCAGAGACGCTGGACAAAGGGATGATCCACATTCCTGGTGGGAAAGAGCAGAATGCATGAGATTTCATCACGCTCCTCAGGACAGTGCATAATTTAAAATTTATGAATTATCTCTGGAATTTTCCATGTAATATTTTCAGTCTTTCGTTCACTGTGGGTAACTGAAACATGAGGGAGGACCACTGTATAGATGTAGAGGAGATATGGGGAGAAGATAACCAGTCAGAGGCAAAAGATCAGTGGGAGGTGAGAGAGTGTTACTGGAAAGGGATCCCGATCCAGACCCCAAGAGAGGGTTCTTGGATCTTATACAAGAAAGAATTCTGGTGAGTCCATAAGGTAAAGTGAAAGCAAGTTTATTAACAAAGTAAAGGAATAAAAGAATGGCTGCTCCATAGGCAGAGCAGCCCCGAGGGCCGCTGGTTGCCCCTTTTTATGGTTATTTCTTGATTGTATGCTAAACAATCAAGAAATAAGGTGGATTATCCATGCCTCTCCTTTTTAGACCATGTAGGGTAACTTCTTGACATTGCCATGGCATTTGTAAACTGTCGTGGTGCTGGTGGGAGTGTAGCAGTGAGGACAACCATTGTTCCTCTCACTGCCATCTTGGTTTTGGTGGGTTTTAGCCAGCTTCTGTACTGCGACCTGTTTTATCAGCAAGGTCTTTATGACCTGTATCTTGTACAGACCTCCTGTCTCATCCTGTGACTTAGAATTCCTAACCATCTGGGAATGCAGCCCAGTAGGCCTCAGCCTCATTTTACCCAGCCCCTGTTCAAGATGGAGTTGCTCTGGTTCAAATGCCTCTGACAAGAGGATTCTAAGGAGACTTGGCTGACTGTACTGCAGGATCCGTGTTGGGCAACTGTGTGGAGAAAGTGTGAATGAATTGATGTTACAGATGATCCAACTTTTGAAAGTTTGGAAGAGAAAGTATTTGCCTTAAGCAGTAGACATCGAGGAGCCACTGAAAGCTCTTAATTTGGGAATAACATGATTGAAACAGTCTCTTATCTACATTTTCAGGCCCTTTATGCATCTCCTATTCCCAGTTTCATTTGACCTATATATAAATTTTTGTTAATTTTTCTTTTATCTTTCAGTCTTATTTTCTGAATTTAGTATATTACCTATTATTAATCCAAGAAATGCTGGTTTTTCTTTCTGTTTTCTACATTAAATCCTCTTTTTCCATATTCTTTTTATTCTATTTGTTTCTATTCTAGTATCTTACGATTTAAATTTGAGCAACTGTCTTTTCCTTTGCCACTTTAGAAACAGTATGTTTCATTAAAAACAGTATATAAGTACCCCTGTTATTTCTGTGCTTGATTCATGGTTGTATTTCTACATTTTCCTCTTGAACTAGCTTAAGAAATAACCAGTTTCTTTCTTTGCTTTTCAGGTCCTACCTCGAGCATAAGACCTCAATGAACTATATGCTGGCAACACGCCTCTTCCAGGACAGGTAGAGATTTGCTAAACTTTAAATTTAGGACTAGATCACAAGATTAACAGAAAGTACATGTCAAAGAAGGAAACAGACCTTATAAAAGTCTTTATGTAAAATCTCTGCTAGAAAAAAAAGTCCTGTAGAAAGCATGCTATCATGACTCATTTTTCCAGAATTTATCATGAACTCTCAGCACTTTGTAACATTTCCAAAAGACAAAAATTTAACTATAAAGATCTTTGAGCAATTTTAACAGATGCCTTAAACTTTATTCTTCTTTAAGGAAGGCCTTTACTTAGTGCCATTATATTTTAGATGCAGTTTTAATAGACACGATTATCTGTTTTTCTAGACCTGAAGATACTAGAATTATCAGATTGGAAAAAGTGGAGGGGAGGTAATTCGTAAAATAAATACACTGAAACTTTTATAAGAAATGACAACTGATAATCTCAGTACAAGGGAAAATGGAAATGATGGAAAACAGACATTGGAATTTAAATAGCACAGCAATCAGGGCTGCTTAGTCCCACATACTTTTGTAGCCCCTGAAACATAACTGCATTGCAGTACAGTTCATTAATTGATTATCAAAATAAGGCACCCTAGTTATTTAGAGAAACCTATATTATTTTGAGGATATATGTACGTTTTTGAAGGATTCTTAAAATAGATACCCATGTTTTAACCATCTGCAATTTCATGATCTACTATCAGGAAATACATGGGATTTGCAATTTGTCTCTGTAAATTTGTGGTAATTACGATTGATTAATCACATTGTGTAGATTCTAAAGAAAGAGATCTTTGGATTTACGTAGAAGACAGAATCTCATTTCTTTATATGTATAAAACCTGTGGGTTTTTCCTCCCCTCTATGAAAACTTTTACAAGGTTTCTTTTATCTTTAGAGTTTAGATACTTTGCCAGGATGTGTTCTGATACGTCATTTTTCATTATTTTGGTTATGCAGTGAGTGCGGCCTTTCAGTCTTTCAGCTGTGGGAAGTATTTCCCTTATCCTTTCTTTTCTCTCCTTGTGGAATTCCTGTTAGATAAATTTTGGCTATAACCTCCATATTTCTTTACTGTTTTTAAACTTTTGGTTTTGCTTCTTAGCCTTAAATTCTTGGAGATTTCTTGGATTTTGTCTTCCAAAACTAAATTAATCTTCAACCATATCTATATTGTTATTTATTTCCCACACAGGATAGGGGTGTTTAATTAAGTTTTTTATTTTGGCAAGTGTGTTTTTAATATACAAGAACTATTTTTGCTTTTCGATTAGTTTTAGTATTTCATGGATGTAATGTCTTTTCAGATCTCTATTTTAGATTGTTTAAAGTTCCTTTCTGTTTTTTGCATTATTTTAATTCTTCTGGATTAGTTGTATT
Source organism: Homo sapiens (assembly GCF_000001405.40). NCBI lineage: Eukaryota > Metazoa > Chordata > Mammalia > Primates > Hominidae > Homo > Homo sapiens. The sequence goes on from NC_000014.9 coordinate 75,754,334, forward strand.
TATTCATCTTATTCTTTCTAGTTTTAACTTCTATATATCTGCAAATGTATGGTGATCTTTGTCCAGTCATATTTAGAAGTAATGAACTGTTTGCTTAAGACAGGTAGTTTGCTTCACAGGTTATATAGGTCTGTTTCTGAACTGACATGGACACTGCACTTGAGGCTGGATCTTTCTATACTTGAATTTCCCAGGAAGGGGAAGGAGGGCAGAGTAGGCATTCTGGGGACCACTGCATTAGCCAAAATGAGGAAGTATCTGCCTAGGAGTAGCAAAAAATAAACAATTTGAGGTATAATAATATGTGTGCCTCTTTGTTAACATATTAAATAGTAAGAGCTAGCAGCAGATCTAATACCTACCGTAATTTCAAACAGTGATAAATATTGACAGTATTTCAAAATAGTTGTAAGAATTCTAAAATAATATGAAGAAAGATGCATTATTTCTTTTGGTAATGAAGTCACATTAATCCACTACTGTGGATAGTTTCCTACATTTATATGGAGGAAATGCTAAATTTCAGTTAGAGGATGTAAGTTTTTTTCTATCCAAGTTTGTATATTGCCTGCATTCTTTCTTGAGGCCCCAGTTAACAGCTCCTGCTTATGAAGCATTCTAAAAACTTTGATTAAAAAAAACATAATTTGGCCAGGCGCGGTGGCTCACGCCTGTAATCCCAGCACTTTGGGAGGCTGAGGTGGGCAGATCACCTGAGGTCGGGAGTTCGAGACCAGCCTGACCCACATGGAGAAACCCCATCTCTACTAAAAATACAAAATTAGCCAGGCTTGGTGGCGCATGCCTATAATCCCAGCTACTTGGGAAGGCTGAGGCAGGAGAATCGCTTGAACCTGGGAGGTGGAGGTTGCTCTGAGCTAAGATCGCACCATTGCATTCCAGCCTGGGCAACCAGAGCAAAACTCTGTCTCCAAAAATAATAATAATAATAATAATAATAATAATAATTTTCCCTGTTTAGCTAAGAAAAACCCTCATGGTCTACCCATGCTTACCTTTTTAGCCTAATTGTCACTTTTTCACACCAACTGATGGCCATTTCTACTTGCTCTTTTATACATCCATATTCTTACAAACTCCCCTTCTTTTGGAATGGCCTTCAATCCATCCCTAAATTCTTCTAGCTTTGTCCTTCCTCCTCTATCCTAGATTAGAAAGAGGTACTCCCAGCCCTTCTTTTATCCCTCAGTCTAATTTAGATTCCCAGATTGTATAATTGCCTGTTTACTAATTTGTGCTTTCCAGGTTGGCTCTTAAGAGTAGATACTTTGTTATGTTCATCTTTGTCAGTATCAAGAACCTACCACATGGTAGGCACACACACGGAAACATGCATTGAAAAAAATGAGATTGTGTTTGTAGCAAGTCCTAGTATCTTCCAATAAATCTGTTCTCTCATCAGTCTAAATTGATATTTTCCTTCTTGCAGATCCAATTAATTTTGTTATTATTAGGACCATTTTCAAACTAATTCTCTACTCATTTCTTTTAGGTTAATTTTGACTACCTTCCTTACCTTCTTGACTCCTCCCCGACCTACCCACTCTGTTCTGGCAAACAGTATCTTACATACTGTCTTATACTATGGCAGTTGCTTTAACCCTGGCTTATGTCCTGGCCACCCCCCCACCGCCCCCCACCCCCACCCAGAGTGAAGTATTGGTACTTACTAAAAGCTGCCCAGGTAATTATAATGTAAAGTCATGATTGCAAATTACTGGAGAAAACCATTATCTGGGTGAAAAACTTAAAATCATTTTGAGACTTTCTGATGATTACCTGACAATATCAGGACATTAACATGGATAGAAAACATGGGAAAGGAAAGACAAAACATCTTGGTGAAGACTTACCTTTTCACTGGATTTTTCTTTGCATATCATCTACATTGCATTTGTCTCTTTACAAAAAAAAATCAAAACATGTTATGTGACTCTATATAATATTTTTGAAGTGACAATTTTAGAATGGAGAACAGATTAATGAGGCAGGGTTTAAGAGGTATGGGTAGTTATAAAAGGGCAACATAGGGGATCTTCATGGTGATATAATCATTGAGTATCTTTTCTGTGGTGGATACATGAACCTACACAGGCAGTAAAAATGTACTGAATTAAATACACACGTACATAAATGAGTACAAGTAAAACTGGGGACTTTTTTTTTTTTTTGAGACAGTGTCTCACTCTGTTGCCCAGGCTGGAGTGCAGTGGCGCAATCTCGGCTCACTGCAACCTCCTCCTTCTGGGTTCAAGTGATTCTCCTGCCTCAGCCTCCCGAGCAGCTGGGATTATGGGCCCATGACACCACACCTGGCTAATTTTTGTATTTTGTAGTAGAGATGGGTTTCGCCATGTTGGCCAAGCTGATCGCGAACTCTTGGCCTCAAGTAATCCACCTACCTCGACCTCCCAAAGTGCTAGAATTACAGGCATGAGCCACTGCCTAGCCAGAAATTTTTTAAGAGTGTTAAATGAAAGGAAATTGAATGAGAGTGTTTTAAAAGAAAAACAAAAGCCTATTTTAACATGAATAGCACTCAATTTCTGTGGTTAGAGCCCAGTCTTAGTTTAGAGACAATGGAGAGTATCTTTTTTCAATAGAGGTTTTGTTGTTGTTGTTGTTGTTGTTTTGTTTTTTTTGAGAGGAGTCTCGCTCTGTTGCCCAGAGTGGAGTGCAGTGGCATGATCTTGGCTCACTGCAACCTCCGCCTCCCAGGTTCAAGCAATTCTCCTGCCTCAGCCTCCCAAGTAGCTGGGATTACAGGTGCACGCCACCACGCCTGGCTGATTTTCTGTATTTTAGTAGAGACAGGGTTTCACCGTATTGCCCAGGCTGGTCTTGACCTCCTGAGCTCAGGCAATCCCCCTGCTTCGGCCAGCCAAAGTGCTAGGATTACAGCTGTGAGCCAATGCGCCCGTCCTTTTAATAGAGATTTTTTTTTAATTGTGGAAAATATATTTCTGATGAGCATCCCTTTTGAACCCCATGAGAATTGAGCTTGGTTTCTTTTCCTAAAACAGTTCAGTGAAAGTAGAAAGAGCACTACAGTTTGAGACCTAAGCCAGAGGCTCAGATGTAAGCCCTTTAAGCTCCGGCCATGGCAGGTCAAAAAATTATTTTATCCTGCTCCTTTCTATAAATGGAGCGAATTAACAACCTTCTTCACATGGTGGTTGTGATGAATAAGCAGTTTGCTTTGTAAATAGATAAGCAAGTACAAATAATTATTATAATTTTTCTCTATAATTTGTCCTTTTTTGTTTTTTATTGATGTCCCTCCAGCTCACAGCACTCTACTCTTTTATGAGAATGTTCTCAATTTATCTGTCTGCTTTTCTGCAAAGATGCCCTCCTTGGCCTAATGTCATGTTGAATTTCTGTATTAAAAATTTCTGGAGTGCATGTGTGTGTGAACTTAAGAGAGACTACCTGAATAGCATTCTCTAACCCGGTTGTCCTTTCTGCTTCTGTAGGGGAAACCCAAGAAGAAGCTTATTGACAGGAAGAACACGGTAATTGACTTTTAAAAGTTGAGAAATGCTTTCCATGTGCATAATGTGTGACCATGCACAGACTAAGCATAATACCTTATATAACCATTTTTAGTTTGGTTCAGCTTGAATAGTAACATAAAAATTTTTTCTATTGAAAAAGTGTTTTGTCGCCACTTTTTACAAGCTAAGTTTGAGATTTACTTCACTATAACTACAGGTATACTATTCTAACTGAAGATGGTATTCTCGTTTAGCTGTGTGAGAGAGAGTATTAATGAGATTTTGAAACTACTGTCATGTTAGATTCAAGTACAGAGTTTGTGTTTTGGCCTTGACATACCTGAGGCACACAGCTCTGTGCCTCATGGTACAGAAGAGAACCTGTTTCTAGTTTGCCACAGAACTGAAAGTATACAAAACACCTGTGGACTTTCATTTAGGCAGAGAGCCCTTTAAAGCATAAATCTAATTTTTCTTTAAAGAAGGAATACATTATGATTGCCATTTAGTTAAGGGAAAACTGAGATAAATCAAGTTTGTAGCTTGTTTCCAAATAGAAAGTCACACTTGGTGTATAAGTTTTCTCCAGTTTTGAGTCAAGAAATATGCTTCCTATAACATACTGCTGTTAACTTGGAAATTGAGAAAAAAGAAAAAAATCTTAAACATTAAGAATAAATGAAGAGCACTGAGTTCTGTTGTTCATTTTTTGGCACTCATTTTATATTGCCATCAATAGGGATTTTGGGCCCTGTAGAGGTGTAAGCAGATGCAAGCTGGCATATGATAGACCATATGCTGGAGCATGAAACAAGTCCTAATATATTTAAAAGGATTAAAATGATACAGAGTATGTTCTTTGGCCCCAGTAGAATTGAATATCAATAACAATAGAAAATCTTCACATATTTGGGAATTAAACATTTCTAAATAATCCATGGGTAAAAGAAGAAATCATGAGGAAAATTAGAAAATACTTTGAACTGAATGATACTAAAAATATGTCAAGATATGTACGCTACAGCTAAAGTAGTGCTTTGGGGGAAATTATAAGTTTAAATGCTTACCTTGGAAAATTGAGGACTGAGATCACTGTTCTAATGTTTGTTTTAAGAAACTGAAAAAAGTAGAGTAACTCCAAAGTAAGTGGAAGAAAGGAAAGGCAGAAATCAAATAAAAAACAAACAGTAAAGAATGTTAACAAAATCCAAAGTGTGTTCATTGATAAGGTAGCATAATTGATAAACCCTTAGGTAGACTGATCTAGAATAAAGAGAAAGGACACTAATTACCAATATCATCAGATAGAAAAGAGAGGATTTCACTATAGATTCAACAGACATAAAGTGGATGCTAAGGTGCGGAAAAAGGATATTAAGGCAATATTATTAGCAACTTTATTCCATTACTTTGACAGCTTAGTTGAAATGACAATTCTTTGTGGTGGTGGGAAAGTTGGGGGCAACACCCAAACTGATACCAGCTGAAGTAGAAATTTTGAAAAGCCCTGTATCTGTTGAGAAAATTGAAATTGTCCTGAAAAACTTTCCTATAGAGAAAACTCCAGGCTCACTGGTTTCACTATTGAATTCTGTCAAGCATTTGAGGAATAATAACACCAATCTTATACAGATTCTTTTAAGAATATAGGAAGGGACACTTCCCAGTTCATCTTACGATGCCAGCATGACTATGATTCCAAAACCTGACAAAGACATTAAAATAGAAGAAGAAGAGAAAATTACAGGCTAATATCCTTCATGAACATAGACACAAAATTTCTTAATACTAGCAAATCTAATCTGCCATTATAAAAAGGATAATACATATGACTGAGATTTTCCCCAGTATTGCAAGGTTGGCTTAACATTTGAAAATTAGTCATTGAAATTCACCATATTAATTACAGGGGAAAAACTAGATTATCATTTCATTAGATATCCCAAAAAAGCAACTGATGAAATTCAGCACATATTTATGAGAAAAACTCAGCAAATCAGAAATAGAAGGAAACTTCATTGATAAAGGCCTTATATGAAAAACCTCTTGCTATCATCATATTCAGTAAAATATTGAAGGCTTTTTCCATATGATTTGTAATAGGGCAAGATGTCCACTCATACCACTTTTATTCACGTTGTACATTAGTATAGTAAAGCAAGGCAGTGAAAAAAGAAATGCACACAGATTGGAAAGGAGGAAGTAAAATGTCTATTTTTGGATGACACGATCAGGTTAGTAGAAAATCCTAAGGCATCTGTAACTACAAGAACACAGAAGTGAACTTAGCAAGGTCTTAGGATACAAGATCGACATACTAAAATCGATTGTATCTTAATGTACTAGTAGTAAATAATTGGAAAATGAAATTTTAAATTATATTTACAACAGCATTTGAAAATATGAAATACTTAGGAATAAATTTAACAAAACATGTTCAATACCTATACAGTAAAAACTATTAAATATTACTGAAAGAAATTAAAGAAGACCTAAATAAATGGAGAGATATGCCATATTTGTTGATTAGAAGAATTCATATAGTTAAAATAGCCATTTTCCTCAAATTGATATAAAGATCCAGTGCAATTTCAATCATTATTCTGGTAGATTTTTTTAAAAGGAACAGACCAACATTTAAAAATTTATATTCAAATACAAAGGACTCAGAATATCCAAAGTAATCTTGAAAAAGACTTAACGTACTTGACCTAAATACTGTAATTCTACAGTATTCAAGATATTGGCAAACTGATCACATTGAAACAGAATAGGAAGCCCAGAAATAGACCCACATTTATATGGTCAAAGTAATCCAATGGTGAAAGGAAATTATTTTTTAAAAATGAGGATGGAACAACTGAATATCGTATTTTTAAAAATGAACCCCAACCGCTGTTTCCCATAGAAATTAGAGATGATTCATAGATACAAAAATGATTACTATAAAACTTATTGAAGAAAACATAATATCTTTGTGACTTTGGGCTTGGCAGTGTTTTTAGACATGACACAGAAAGCAATAAAAAACAAATAATGTTATATTTTCTCAAGATTAAAAACTTCATTATAAGATACTGTTAGGAAAATGATTTGGCAAGCCACTGACTGAGTGGAAATATGCATCAAACATATCTGTCAAAGGATTGATATCTAGGAACTATCAAGAACTCCTACAACTCAATAATAAAAAGACCATCAACCCAATTACAAAAGGATAAAATATTTGAACAGACACTTCAAAAGGAAGATATATGAGTAGCCAATATGCTTATGAAAATGTGCTTAACAACATTAGTTATCAGGGAATTACAAAGTAAAACCACGTTATACCACTGAACATCTAGCAGAATGGCAGATATTATACTGACAATACTAAATGGTGGTAAGGATGTGGAACTAACAGAACTGTGATAAATTGTCGTTGACAGTGTAAACTGGTACAAGCACTTTAGGAAGAGACTGGCAGTTTGTTAGAAATATACAAATTTCACTTTGAGATCTACACAGAAGAAATAAACATAATCACAAAACAGCTTGTACAAATAGGTTCATAGTAGCTTTATTCATAATGCTCCAAAACAGGAAACAACCTAAGTGTCCAACAACAGAGCAGATAACTGTGGGTTATTCAGACAGTGACCTACTGCTCAGAAATAAAATGGGATGAATACTGACACACACAAGAGTGAATCTCAAAAGCATGCTGAGTGAAAGAAGCCTTATACAAAACAGTTCATACTGTATGGTTTCATTTTTATGAAATTCTGGAACAGGCAAAAGTAATACATGATGAAAAATTTACAACAGTGATTGCCTTTAGGACGTTAGGGAAGGATTGACTGGATAGGAGTGGGAAGGGGCATGAGAACTTCTGAGTTGATACTAATATTAAGAGTTTAGGTTATATAGCTCTAGGCATTTGTCAGAACGCATTAAGTGGACATTTAATATTTGGATATGTCACTGTATGTAACTTTTAGCTTACCCAACACAGTTCTATAAAACAATTATTGAACTCTAGATAGTAATGATATGCATGTTGAAATGTTTATGAGCAAAATGTACTGATGTCTCTAACTTTGAATTGCTTTAAAAATTAGATAGACTGATGGATGAAGGATATATGATTGGATATATACGTGACGAAACAAAATATAGTAAAATGTTAATTGTAGAAACTAGGTGGTAAGTAGGTATATGGTTGTTCACTGTACAATTCTTTAAACTTTTGTTTAAATATTTAAAAAAAAAATGTTGGGGGCTGGGCGTGGTGGCTCACACCTGTAATCCCAGCACTTTGGGAGGCCGAGGCGGGTGGATCACGAGGTCAGGAGATTGAGACCATCCTGGCTAATACGGTGAAACCCCATCTCTACTAAAAATACAAAAAATTAGCCAGGCGTGGTGGCACATGCCTGTAGTCTCAGCTACCTGGGAGGCTGAGGCAGGAGAATTGCTTGAACCCAGGAGGCAGAGGTTGCAGTGAATCGAGATGGCGCCACTGCACTCCAGCCTGGGTGACAGAGCAAGACTCCGTCTCAAAATAAATAAATAAATAAATAGTTGGAAAAAGTAAATGAAAAAGATGTAGCTAAAAGATATCCAACTTATTTTTAGGAAATTCAATTGTTTGTTAATTAACCAATATTTATGGCAAGTCAGCTGTGTGCTGGACAGTCTCATAAGCATCTAGGATACAGTGATACAAGACAAACATGGTCCTTGCCCTCATAGAACTATTATTCTGGCTTATCAGATTCATATTTTACCCAGCATTCCCTATCCTCTATCCCTTGTACTATTTAGGATTTATCTGTTTATCCAGGGTCTCTTGGTTCTTAGTTGTTATTTTAAAATATCTTTAGAGAAAGAGATTTGTAGTAGCTTCTCCATATCTGTGAGCTTTTAGCGTTCATGTTTTCAGAAGTTTATTTTTTGAGTTTTTGTTGATAAAAAGAAATCTTTTTTTCCTAAAGAATGGAGTTCTTGACAATGTAGACGGTATAATGTAGACAATATAAACTCTTGTTTATATAATGAACAGTGGTTCGTGAACGTAAACACTGGGCTTTAACTTATTAGGGTGTTGAATTAACTTCCACTCATTTAATTAGGATGATCTCAAACATTAGATTGTCTCCAATCACATTAAGTTTTTAAGAGACACGTCATTGGAGAGAGAGTTTGTGTGTTTATGAGATAATGATGTCGGTGTTAAGCTATGCCCATGTTTGTCCATATAGTTATCAAATTTGACCAAGTTTAAAAAAAAATACAAAATTGACCAAGTTAGCCAGACATTATTGAATAAATGGTTTAAATGATTTTATCTTTCTATCAGATTTGTTTTATTTTCTTTATTATTGAATTGGCTAAAAGTTTATTTCTATAGCTCTCTCTCTGTGTGTGTGTGTGTGTGTGTGTGTGTGTGTACTCTTTGGGACTCTGATAAAATACATTGGAACCATTTTTAAAGTTCATTGATTTGCTTCCCATTTCTGCTCCCAGTGCCAGGACCTTCCTGTTTTTGGCTCTTTGTCTTACTCTGGAGAGAAGGCCTCCAAAAGACTTACCATCCATTCCATCCACCCAGAAATCCCTATCAGAAAGGTCCTAAATAGACCAAATGACACAGCCTTTTTATTATACTCAGAGACTGAAAACTCCCAGAGGAGTTAGGATGATTTCTTGACCTCAAAGGGAACACACTTTGAGTTCTAGAGAGTTCAGAGCCAACCAATTAGATATTGCGTTTGAGCGTAGAGAGTTGGCTACATGCTTTCAGTCACTGATATAGATACTGCTTTTCTGACCTGGTGACCCAGAGCCCTCTCTTTGGTGACTTGGTTATGGCTGCCTCTCTTGTATTTTGCTCAGTCCTTGTCTAGACTGGGCCTCATATCAGTCACTGCCTGATTTGTGATTTGTGTTACTTTAATGCCTAATGTAGCTGGTGCCAGCCCCCTTTCCACATCCCATTTCTCATTCTTGACTTGATGTATTTAGCCTTGTCCTATCTCTGCTGCCTTCCCTTGTCTGTGCCTCTGACTGTAACTCCAGACCTGTACTTAACGCCTGTAAAGTCCCTGCCACCTTGCTCCACCTTCTCCTGTATATAATCAGGATCTTAAAGGAGGGTGGGTGCCTTGGCATTTCCTCATGTTGGGATGCTTGAGACTTGGTGAGTCCCTAGGGCTTGGTGACTTTTCACTAAGACACTTCTATGCGTCTCAGTCAACTCGGTGCTCCCTCACGTATTCACAGATCATCAGCCTTTGTTCCCCTCATCTGAACCTCTGCTAAATCCATATTGTTTAGATTTTATATACATTCAAAAGAATATTTATAAAATGCTGAGTAAGTTATAATGGGTAGAAATGAAACAAACACCATTTGCCACCACTCAACTTAAGAATTAAGATATTGTCGTTTTTAAGGTATAAAGTATTTTAAGGTATAAGGTGTTGGGTGGCACTTTATAATCCCTGCAGTAAAGTAATAATCAGTATCACTGAACACTTAAAGGTCTTAAACATTGTCTTTAGCTGCATATTTTTTTAGAACATTTAATAAATTCAAATGGGTCACTAGTGAGGTTTTAACGTAGATTCTAGTGTTCCTCTTTATCTGTCAAACTTTTAGAATTCACTTGAGTTACCATGTCCAGTATGTCAGCATTATGGAATTCTGGGAAGCTTAGCCTTGGAATGAAGGAGAGAACTTTCTGAAGGCCATAGCTACCATGTTGCTTTTCCCCTAGAATGACTGCTGATGGAGCGCCAGAATTGAAGATAGAGAGTCTGAATTCAAAGGCCAAGCTGCATGCTGCACTTTACGAGAGGAAGCTCCTGTCTCTGGAGGTGCGAAAACGTAGACGACGGAGTAGCAGATTGAGGGCAATGAGGCCAAAATACCCAGGTACCTGCTGGTGAGCTTTCACCAAACTCCCTTATCTGGATCCTGCCAGACTGAGTTAACCAGCTGCTTACTCAGTATTTCATGAGTCAGAATCTTCCTGATCACATACACCTTTTTTATATAGTTTTTTCTCTGAAACTTAATTTCAACAAAGTCTTAAGTTTTTAAACCTTCCACTCTATAATATTTGTATTGAAGACTATCTGAAACACATACATTTTGGCCTTTGCTCTTATGTCAGCATCATACAAATACCTGATACTCTAGAAATAATATTAGCCTGAGTTTAATGGAATCCTGAGCATTACTGTTCAGGTTTTTTATAATTAGGTAAGTTCAGTTCATTCTTTAACATTGCTGAATGGCATAAGTATTTTAGATAAAGTGGAATTTCTTTCTCTCCTAGCTTCTACAATGTTGTAGGTCTGTTTATAATTGACTGATATACTGATTTCCTTTTTTTCTCTCCTTCCCTCCTGTGAACGTCTGTGTCAGGCAGTGTGTTAGTCACTGAGGTTTTGCTGGTAAATAAAAAAGATATGGTCTCTGTCCTCATAGAACTTACAAGGCGATAGAGAAGGATAATGAATAAACATAGGATAGAAAGATATTCCCCTGTTCTTTATACCTCCGTGAAGGGTGCTTTTTAAAAAATCTCTAATACACTGTAGAAATTACTAAGCCAAGGGTTTTTTGTTTTTTTATTTTTATTTTTTGCCTTAAGTTGTGAGAGAGTGATGATGAGAGTATGATGAAAAATGTATACTTTAATGAAGATTATTAATAGGTTTTAGAATATGTAACATTAGGCCAGGCATGGTGCCTCATGCCTGTAATCCCAGCACTTTAGGAGGCCAAGGTGGGCGAATCGCTTGAGCCCAGGAGTTCGAGACCAGCCCAGGCAATCTGGCAAAATCCTGTCTCTACAAAAAATACAAAAATTAGCTGGGTATGGTAACATGTGCCTATAGTCCCAGCTACTTGGAAGGCTGAGGTTGGAGGACTACTTGACCCCAGGATGTCGAGCTGTAATGAGCCGAGATCCTGCCACTGCCCTCCAGCCTGGGCAACAGAGCGAGACCCTGAATCAAAAAATGATAATAAATGAAAACAAAAATAAATAAAAGAATATATGAGATTAGAGAGTGACATGTGGGTGCTATTAATTCTGTGCCTTGTTTGTGGTTTGGTTTAGAAATGGGCTTTTACTAAAAAGAGAAAAGGAAGGTATTGGGAGAGAGGAACATTTAATCCTTTTTTCAGCAACATTAGTGATTCTTCGTATTTAGTGATTACCCAACCAGCTGAAATGAATGTTAAAACTGAGACAGAGAGTGAAGAGGAGGAAGAAGTCGCATTAGATAATGAAGATGAAGAACAGGAGGCTTCCCAGGAGGAGTCTGCAGGATTTCTTAGAGAAAATCAAGCCAAATATACACCCTCATTGACAGCTTTGGTAGAAAATACACCCAAAGAAAATTCCATGAAAGTTCGTGAATGGAATAATAAAGGTGGACACTGCTGCAAACTTGAGACTCAGGAGCTAGAGCCTAAATTTAACCTGATGCAGATTCTTCAAGATAATGGCAATCTTAGGTATGTATCTTTTATAATTATATTAGTAAAACTGATAACAGCTAACTTGTACTGTGTACCAGCTACTATTTTAGTGGTTTTACAGTCATTTTTCATTTAATATTTACAGAAGTCCTATGAAATAATGACTGTGATTAGATACTGTTATTATTAAGGAAACTGAGCCTTAGAGAGGTTAGGTAACTTGTCTAAGGTAGAGCTATGATACAAACCCGGGTCTCATTGGTTGGGCATTTGTGTCAGTCACTGAGTATAAGGTAACTGGGACAAGGAGCTCAAGCAGCTCGTCGTTTAGTATCAGAGACAGAGAGCTCAGGCCATGGCCCCACTATGAACAAAGTGGTCTTAGGACACAGAAAAAGAGTGATTGGTCTGGCTTGGGAGGGCTAGAAAGGCATTATGGATGAGGGAAAATTTGAATCAGGCCTTGACAGATGAGTAGGGTTTCAGGAGCTTTGGGAAGTGATGGTTAAATGTGGGAGTGCTAGGTAGAGGCAATAAAGACGTAGAGGTGGCCAAGCTCAGTGTCTCACACCTATAATTGCAGCACTTTGGGAGGCCGAGGTGGTCGGATCACCTAAGGTCAGGAGTTCGAGACCAGCCTGACCAACATGGAGAAACCCTGTCTCTACTAAAAATACAAAATTAGCTGGGTGTGGTGGTGCATGCCTGTAAGCCCAGCTACTCGGGAGGATGAAGCAGGAGAATTGCTTGAACCTGGAAGGTGGAGTTTGCAGTGAGCCAAGATTGTGCCATTGCACTCCAGCCTGGGCAACAAGAGTGAAACTCCATCTTAAAAAAAAAAAAAAAAAGACATAGAGGTGTGATAATACAGTCATTCATTAAGTCCCTCAGTGAGTTTTTATTGAGCACCTGCCCTATGCCAGTTGTGCTAGGCCATATCACATTACTGTGGGGACCAAGATAGGCCTGGAGTTTACAGTCTAGTGGGGAAGAATGACAGTTAACAAAGAAACAAGGTCATTTCAGGTCGTGAGAAATGCTGTCAGGACAATAAGATGGTGTAATGTTAGAATGTAATTGGGCAGAGTTACTTAATTGCAGTGATCTGGCATGAAGAGGTAACCTTTGAGGTAAGTCCTGAATGATGAGGAGTCAGTCGTGTGAATAGTAGGAGGCAGAATACTCCCAGCAGAATAGCAAGTACAAAAGCCCAGACATCGTAATGAGCTTGGTGTGTTTACAAAATACAGACTAGAGGAATTATATAAGGAGAAGAGCATGGTAAGAAATGAGACTAAAAAATTGGATGTTGTTAGATTGTGAAGGGCCGTAAGAGGAGCCTAAGCTTTATTTTCTAGATGACTTTTAAGCAGATAAATGATACGGTGAGATCTTGTTTTAGAAAGTAAATCGTGCTTGCATTGTGGGATAGTGAAACTAAAGGCAGGGGGGTGAGTTAGGGACTGTTAGAATTGTCCAGAGCCAGGAAGATGAAGGCCTTGATCAGAGTAATGGCTTTAGGAGTGGAGAGAATGGGATGGACTTAGTAAAATTTGCAAAGTAAAATTGATGAGACTAAGTTTTTCACATTTGGAAACTTGGTGGTGCCTTTGGTCAATATAAGGAACATAGGAGTTGGTTTCATGTTAAAAACAATGAGTTTGATTTAAGATGTAGTAAGGAAGAAGGGTTCTGGGCTAAAGTCCAATAGACAGGTGGACAGCTTTGTTGATCAAGGTTGAACAGGATTGTATAGTTGGTAGGTAAAGTCTTGCGAATGGATAAGATTGTTCACAAATTTATTTGGTTCAGCAAGGATAAAAAAAGAATTGAGCCCTGGGGAATACCACTGTTCAATGGGTAAGTCAGTAAAAAGGTCAAGATGTAGCAGTTAGAGCAATAGACATAAGATCAGGAAGGAGTAGTATGGTAAAAGCTGCAGAATGAGCATTTCAGGTCTGTAGAGCCTCAAACAGCCCTAGTTAGGATGAATAGTGAAAAGAGACTTCTGGATTTGTGACCTAGGGCCAACTGAGTAGGTGGAAGACCAGTTGTGAGTGGAGAAAATAAGAAAGCAAGTGTGAACTAACTGTCTAAGGGTTTGGCAATGAAAGGAAGGTAAGAATGCATCAGGGAGACAGCCAGCTAAAAGAAACGGATTTTTTTTTTTTCTTTTGAGAAGAGGTTCTGGAGGTTGTTTATAGACTAAGGGGAAGGATTTGAGGATAAGAGGATTAGAAATGCAGAAATGGACATATTGGTAGAGAAGAGTACTAAAGGAAGGTGGGAAGAGGCCAGAGGAGGGAGTATCTCTTCCTATCAGTCAGAAAGAAAGTGCTATGGGATGAATGAAGTTGACAGAAGTTTAAGAGCAAGGAAGTTTAGCCGTTTATGCATGATAGTCTTTATTTCTAAATTAGAGGCCAGTTCTTATACTGAAAGGCTGGAGGGTGACATTGGAGTAGCAGGGGATAGAGTTAAGGTTTGGAACAGTGTCATGGAGAATAAGAATAGTTCTGTCAGTGGAGAATAGAATATGCTAAACTCAGTCAGAAGACCTGAGCTCTGGCTGTTTTAGTGCTACCAACTGGCCGTGTGGTCATAGACAAGTCAAAGAGCTTCTATAGGCCTCAGTTTCCTTTTCTGTCAATCCAAGATGTGGAGTTAGACAAGTGTTTTTTCAAACTTCTTCCTAGAGGGAAAGAAGATTTCACTGAATTGAAAATAGAGCATTTGAAAACCACTGGACTGTATTCTAAGGTCCTTTCCAGCAATAACATTCTGCTTAGTTGTTGTAGAAATAAATTATTTCTTCATGAATCTTGTGGCTCTCGCTTTGAATGAGTAAACTGTTAAAATTGCAGGCTGCGTTAGTGTCAATCAGTGGTTTTCAGACTGTGTTCCCTAAAGCTGCTCATTGTTCGGTGAAGTGTCTCAGAGGCTACTTAGGGGTTTGGGGAAAGTCCACGCACAGCCAGGGTTCAAAACTCTAAGGATCGCGTCATTGTTGCATATCTTATATACTGAGCATCTGCATAACCTTTTGTTTTTTAAAATAGGTTTCTTTGGTTTTTATTCTTTCTGGTTTTTATTCTTTCATCTTTTGGGGGGTTTGTTGCAAGTGACTAGCTGAACAATGTGTCCAATACCTTAGAGACAGTCTCAGAATTAACATTCGTGACGTTTATGGAAATGGAAACCTCAATATTTGTTCATTTGCTTTGCAACAGT
Organism: Homo sapiens; assembly: GCF_000001405.40. Taxonomy (NCBI): domain Eukaryota; kingdom Metazoa; phylum Chordata; class Mammalia; order Primates; family Hominidae; genus Homo; species Homo sapiens. Next base: position 75,769,564 of record NC_000014.9, read on the forward strand.
GATTCACAACAAAACAATGATTGAAGTCTCAACTTATGAGCAATAATCCCCTTATTTAAAAGATCTTCAAGTTTTAGTATAAAGGGATGAATCCGTGGAATTGGATATTCTGCTACATTTGAAGGTGTCTGAAACATGCTATTTCTTGCTCATTATATTGTAGGTGAATTTATTGACCCAAACTGAGGATCTTTTAAATTTATTTTGACTTGAGAATAATTTGTTGTGGAGACAAAGCTTATAGGATTGATTCAGGGTAAAGTGATATATGCTCTCTGGGTAAACAAGAGTATAATTATTGTCTTTGAGGAACAGTTGAAAATGTACATTTATGGCCAGGCGTGCAGGCTCATGCCTGTAATCCCAGCACTTTGGGAGGCTGAGGTGGGTGGATCACCTGAGGTCAGGAGTTTGAGACCAACCTGATCAACATGGTGAAACTCTATCTCTATTAAAATACAAAAATTAGCTGGGCATAGTAGTGAGCACCTGTAATCTTAGCTACTTGGGAGGCTGAGGCAGGAGAATCGCTTGAACCTGGGAGGCAGAGGTTGCAGTGAACCAAGATCACACCACTGCACTCCAGCCTGGGTGACAAGAGCAAAACTCTGTCTCGAAAAAAAAAAAAAAAAAAAGAAAATATAAGTGTATTATTTCAAAACCATATTATGCTCCCATAAAAACCATCCCTGCTAGTAACAAAGATGTAGCCTTATTCTTAGTTCATGTTCTGAAGCTCTTATGTATTAAACTCTCAAAAGCAAATCTTCTCCCCAGCCTGACTCCCTTGCCCTCCAATTCTCCAACATACACATGGAAGCTAGACTGGAGCCCTCTTAAGATGTGCAGCTTACTTTAGCCAAATCCTACCTCCTAACCTTGTGAAAACAGTCAGTAGAAAGCATTCAGTGATTGCATTTGTGGGGATTGTAAACAAAGTTTGTGTTGGGCCCTAATCTTCGCTGATATAATTTTGGCTACAGTATCAGAAGGCCGATCAGCTGAAGTAACCAAAATCTGGCCTGAAAGAAAACAGATCTGCCATGAACAGCAGCTGAGGTGAAAATCATCAGTGTCTCTCTGGTACTTCTGTCTTCCAAACTATAGCTTGATCAGATTTCCTTATTTCCAGCCTAGGCCACCAGGCAGAAAATAGCTGCGTTCTTTAATGATGTTGCTAAGGTGCTTTTCACAAGACTTGAGGATTTCTTTCGCCCACTGAACATCTGGGCTTGTCCTGCCTGGCCCATCAGTTCATCTGTGCCAAACTCTGTTGGACCTCCCTCATTTGCTCTGGGCTCCAGCCATTCCATCTTGTAGTTGAGAACAGTGTGGCCTTAAATTTGGTCTTAAGAGTCCCTTTATAGGATTTATCTATTTCCTGCTTTGGACACTTTTATATACTAGAAATATTAATTGCCATTGCAAAATCCACACTTTTGCTTTTGTACTAACTGATAAGTTCTTATGGACCTCCAAATGTAAAAAACATTTTCTCATTAATACAGTGGTTTTTGTGAAGATTGAGTACTTCTCCTGTCTGTTCCCCCAAGAAAGTTGTTAAAAAGTTCAAAGAGGGTCAAGCACAGTGACTCAGGCCTATATGTAATCCCAGCACTTTGGGAGGCCAAGGCAGGCGGATCACTTGAGGCCAGGAGTTCGAGACCAGCCTGGCCAACATGGTGAAACCCCGTCTCTACTAAAAATACAAAAATTAGCTGGGTGTGATGGTGTGCACCTGTAAGTCCAGCTAGTTGGGTGGCTGAGGCACAAGAATCACGTGAATCCAGCAGGATGGAGGTTGCGGTGAGCTGAGATTCCACCACTACACTGCAGCCTGGGTGACAGAATGAGACCTTGTCTCAAAAAAAAAATTTCAAAGAGAAGGAGTAAGAAATCTAATTTTCTATTCTTCTTTTTTTCCCTTATGCTAATAATGAGAAAATAAATAGGATTCTCCATCTCTGATTCTTTTAATAGGAAATTTAAAAAGAAAAACCTTCATGTACTGCTTAGAAGGAATCCTTATTCACAGGCTGTAAGATGGGTTTCATATTTCTTAGCCATCATAATAGAAGCATCCTCAAAGGCCACTTGGAGAGAAGCAAGTACACATTTTGTAGTTTTACACTTCTGTCACATAACGGTATGTTGTTTTGGATTTCTATAGCAAAATGCAGGCCCGAATAGCATTCTCTGCCTATCTCCAGCATGTTCAAATTCGCCTGATGAAAGACAGTGGCGGTCAGACGTTCAGTGCCAGTTGGGCTGCCAAAGAGGATGAACAGATGGTAAGGCTTTTCTTACTGAAACCTTTTTACTTTCCCTTTTTCTTTCTTCTTTCTGTATTTTTTTTTTTTTTTCCTATTAGGGTAAAGTGCGATATTTTTCTGGTGAAAGGATTATTATGTAAGAAGGTTTTTAGATTTCTTATAAATCTATACTTACAAGATTTATATATACTTATTTCTTATACTTCAATGTGAAGCAAATCTTTGACCTGGAGCTATGTTCATTACACCATGTAGTGAAGGCATCAATGTATTTCATTTTGAATTGGAAATTGATTTCTCATTGGACGTGAAGCCCTGTGCAAAGCCCTTTAAAAGAATAACAATTTACAGTCTTTTCTCAAGCAACCTCACATTATTAACTCTGAGGTAGGCATTATCATCCCTGTTTTACAGAAGAGCAAACAAAGACCTCGAGAAGCCAAGGTTCCACAGGTTATACGTGATGAAACCAGAACTTAAACTCAGATGTACTTTACTTGCTCCTCCATTGCTTTCATGCATTGTAAAGCATTTATTTTCTGTCCTGAGGAGTCAAATTAGCTCTTTGAAAGTCATCACCTTATCATAGGCCCTGTCAGAATATACCATCCTCCAAGTTGGTATTTTTTACTTTACTAGTTGTAACCTCTTAAGATTCTTAGATTGCTAGAATCAAACTTGTATAATCATTTTTACTGTATATCAGTCATTTGAACATTCCTGGGATTCAGTATTCTAGGACAGTTTTGTGTGTGTGAATCAGAATGATGGGGAGCTTTAAGCTGTTTGGTAAGGTCAGAGTTTATGGAAGAAGCCACAGCCCTTCCATATTCTTTTTTTTTTTTTTTTGAGACAGAGTCTTGCTCTGTCGCCCAGGCTGGAGTGCAGTGGTGCGATCTCAGCTCACTGCAACCTCCGCTTCCTGGGTTCAAGCTATTCTCCTGCCTTAGCCTCCCAAGTAGCTGTGATTACAGGCACCCACCACCAAGCCTAGCTAATTTTGTATTTTAAGTAGTGACGGGGTTTTTCCATGTTGGTCAAGCTGGTCTCAAGCTCCTGATCTCAGGTGATCCACCCTCCTTGGCCTCCCAAAGTGCTGGGATTATAGGTATGAGCCAGCGCGCCTGGCCCCATATTCTTTTTAATAACAGGGATTTGTCACCAAAAGGAGAGGGGCCTTTAAGTCTGAGAAAGCTGCATTCTTTGTTCCACTCAGTGGTGACCTTATTGTAATTTTTAGTCCTCCACATACAAAAGGCAAGTCTTTATGCCAGGCTTATTGTAAAAACATGTTGGTTATCCCAGAAAACAACTTATGAATTTAAAGTAGCCAATGGAACCCAGAGATAAAACCTTGTGTGTTGTGAATAATCCTTCAACCATCAGTGGAAAATGTTAGCTCTGCTCTTTCCAAGTGGAAAATTGAAACTGCCTTTTTGAGAGTCAGTTTGTCTGCTCCACTGTGAAAAAAATAATGTTTTAATATAACAGCTTAAACCACCCTATAGTAAAGACAGCAGAGTAGAACTATGAAATTCAACCCTCTGGTTATGAGGCTGTTTCACTTATGCTGGAGTAAATTGGCACCAAAGGACAATGAACCAAAATCAAATTCAAGAAGAAAAAAAATAGTTCAAAAAAGAATAACCACTGCGGATGCTGGCTTGGAATTCACACAGTATTTCTTTGGGGCTTTCTACAAGAATATTGAGGATCATCACTACAAAACTTAATACCAGTTCTGTGAATTCTTTCTTGAAAATATATCTAGGCTGGGTGCGGTGGCTCATGCCTGTAATCCCAGCGCTTTGGGAGGCTGAGGCGGGTGGATCAGTTGAGGTCAGGAGTTCGAAACCAGCCTGGCCAACATGGTGAAACCCCGTCTCTACTAAAATACAAAAAAATTAGCTGGGTGTGGTAGTGCGCACCTATAGTCCCAGCTACTTGGGAGGCTGAGGCAGGAGAATTGCTTGAACCTGGCAGGCGGAGGTTGCAGTGAGCTGAGATCACACCACTGCACTTCAGGCTGGGTGACAGAGCAAGATACCGTCTCAAAAAAAAAAAAAAATACATATATATATATATATATATAGAGAGAGAGAGAGAGAGAGAGAGAGAGAAAGAGAGAGAGAGAGAGAGAGAGAGAGAGAGAGAGAGAGAGAGCGAGAGTACAAGCCTTACCCCATTCCCTGATGATTGTAGCAGTGGTCTTGCTTTTGAGGAAGGTAGATGTAGAGTTGGCCTCTGTGTTCCAGCTTAGGTTAGAGATTCCTTATCTCATAACTCACAGAAGGCACATCAACAGAACGTCCCCAGATTTATCATCTGAAGGCAGTTTTATTGTGGTTTTTGGACAACAACATCTTTAAGGCTCTTGGCCTTATAAAATCTCTCTTTGAAGCATTTATGATTTCATCAGTAATCTGATTGGTATCTGTTCAGATTTCAAAATCCTTTGCCCCCATCTTCTGTGAGATGTATTCTTTCTTTACCTTAATAACTTTCCACTGTGCCCTCCTTGACAACCCCCAACTCTAAAAGCTCCCTTATTCTTGGGGAAGAAAAAAAGCTATTACCTTTCAAACTACTGTGATAGTTCTTTCTTTGCCTTAATCACGACACTTTTAAAGTCATTAGTTTCTACTCTTCACGTATATTTTTCATTACCCATGCATTTTCTTAATGTCTTCTTGTACTCTCTTTATTGAAACTGTTTTCTTGAAATTATCCCTCAGTGGTCAGATCCAAGGCCTTGTCTTTGTAGTGGGCCTTTCCAGCTCCAGCCTCTTGGAAGCATTTGACATGGAACCCTTTCTTCAGTTGGCCTCCATGGCACTATTTTCTCTTAATTTTCTTTTTTTTTCTTTTTTGAAATGGAATCTTGCTTTGTCGCCTAGGTTGGAGTGCCGTGGCATGATCTTGGCTCGGTGCAACCTCCACCTCCTGGGTTCAAGTGATTCTCATACCTCAGCCTCCCAAGTAGCGGAGATTACAGGTGTGTGCCACCACGTCAGGCTAATTTTTGTATTTTTCGTAGAAATGCAGTTTTACTGTGTTGGCCAGGCTGATCTCGAACTCTTGACCTCAAGTGATCTGCCCACCTCAGCTTCCCAAATTGCTAGGATTGTAGGTGTGAGCCACCATGCCCAGCCTATTTTCTCCTGGTTTTCTGTGTTTCTGGTGTTTCTAACTTTTTTTTTTTTTTTCCTGATACTTCATCATCTTTTCTATCTCTAAATATGAATATTTCTGTATTCTCTGTCTTCTCACCTTTGATACTTTCATCTGCTTCCACAGTTTTAGTTCCTACTACCTGTCTTTGAATGCTACCTTCCCTAAATAGTGCTATTTGTGTATGTACTGTGGTACTTTTACAACTGCTACTTTATTACATAGTTATTTACATACATACTTGATTTAAATTTTCTGATTGCCAGCTGATTGAGGGAAGGGAATAAGTTTCTTTCATTTTTGTTTTGTCTTTCTGTATGCTTCTTATACCTAACCTTTTTGTTCTGGGTCTTGTTTGTTGAAATGTGTAATATATGTCTTCTTCCATCTCTGTTATATAATGCCTTCATAGCTTGTCTTCTGTTGCTTAGCACCATCCCTCCTTTTTTTTTCTCCCACGACTCTTTAATTTATAGGAGCTGGTTGTTCGTTTCCTCAAGCGAGCATCAAATAACCTCCAGCATTCACTGAGGATGGTATTACCCAGTCGACGATTGGCACTTCTGGAACGCAGAAGAATCCTGGCCCACCAGCTGGGTGACTTTATCATTGTATACAACAAGGTAAGTCTTTTTCTGTTAGTCTTGTGCTTTGGATTGCCATACACTGTCAGAAACAGACTAGATAGAAGCCTCTGTCCAACTGGATGGAGACACTCTTCTTCTGTTCTCTGGCATCACCATCCCTTATGTATTACTGTTAGGGGAAGCAGGACCCCACACCTTAACTCAGCTGGTCTGAAAAACTATTTATTACTTCTGAAGGCCCAGTGGCCATAGTTAATTCTTAATTCTTATCAAAAGGCATATTCCTTTTGAGCACTGAGATGAATCCTAGGCTGTGTGAGTCTGCACGGTTGTTAGTGCCTGTAGAAAGTGGCAAATTGACCATTGGAGAACAAATTTGAGCTGTGGATTGAATGTAATGACATATTCTTTCTTGAACGAGTTATACTTTCATCTTTAAAACATTTTATACATTACAGAATTTTACAGTCAAGCCCAAGAAATATACTATTTAATTAGAATATTTTGCAAAGCATTCTATATCCCGGGATCTCAGAATGCATTAAAAATATCATTTTGGGTGTTTGGGTTTGGGAGGTTTGGTCAGTTTGCAGAAGGAAAAGCTGATAGAAATTTAAATGGCTTTTCTAAAGTTGCATGGAATTGTTGGTAGAATATCAGTGCACCAAACTCATAGCCACAATTTACTCCAGATCTGTTGAGAATTTTGTTATGTCTTATATAAGTGAAGAATTTATTCAGTATGGAAGCTGGTATAAGAGTACCTTCCAAGATCTGTCTTTCCTCTCCTAATTGGAACAAAATACTGTGTCTCTGTTGTCATATTGTTAAAGCTACAAGGGTGATCATAGATATTACTAAGCTACTATAAAAACCTCTTTAATCAATGGGCTGTGTAAGTAGAAAGTAAAAACATGATTAAAATTTACATTCATTCTGCAACTTTTACTTGGGAATTTCAAAATGTTTTACAAAATCATGGCCAAAAGTAATATGTCAAATTTATAGGTGGCAAAAGTACATACAAGAATTAAATGTCTTTACTATAAGGACAGATTAACTCAAGGCTATTGAAACTACATGATGAAGTGCATATTTATTAGGAGTCAGTTTTATCTTGTTGTTTTTCTGTGGGGTTTGGGCACTGGGTAGGAAACAGAACAAATGGCTGAAAAGAAATCAAAGAAGAAAGTTGAGGAAGAAGAGGAAGATGGGGTGAATATGGAAAACTTTCAGGAGTTCATCAGACAAGCAAGGTAGTAGACATTCTTGATTGATAAAAGCTGTCTTATTCCATCTTCCATAATGCTCATTGAGTACCCAGCATTCCTTTGTTTCTGATACATGGATGTGAATGAAATCACTCTTAAAGCCGGGCACAGTGGCACACCCCTTTAGTTCTAGTTACTTGGGAGCCTGAGGCAGGAGGATTGCTTGAGCCCAGGAATTCGAGGCCAGCTTGGGCAACATAGTGAGACCCTGTCTCTAAATGATGAAAAAAGAAATCATTCTCAGAAGGAGAAAAGATTGTATGGGTTTGGCCTCTCCATATCTTAGCCAATTATGTTGCTATTTTCATGGCTTCAGTTATCAAAACATTACTGCTGGGTAGCAGGGCTGTAGTTCTCGACAGCCTTCACAGTGCACATCTCTTGAAGTCACATGAGAGCTCTTTGGAAAGTTGAAATTAGAGGCATCTCATATTTACTGGGTCTGAATTTGTCCCTGACCTACTCATGGAGTAGAAATGACCACATTTTGCCTACATTGAGTAGGCTGAGGAATTTGCAATTTCTCCACTCTGTGAGGGTTACACCTAATTTATATAAAATAGAACAAGTTCTTCATGCTTAGGGTTAGCCTTTAGAAATGGAAAATCTCGATATTCATCTCTCTATCTTGATAAAAGTCAGCCAGGCCATTTTGTCCATTTATGTTGGCTTACAAAGGAAGAGATAACAAAGGCACTTAATTTTAAATCTTGTAAAACTTACACTGGAGGATTTTTTTCTAAATAGAGAGATGTGCAAAACCATTAAAATAAAATAGGATAAAAAAACAGTAAGCCCCATTACTTAGGCTTCAACTGTCAAAGTCACAAATAGGGAGAAAATCAGTAGAAAATCTACCCTATGTTGATTGGTGAAGTTAAATGAGGTAGGGGTAGGAGCTTATCAATCACCAGCATAATATAATCTTTGTTTAATACCCTTTTCAGACCTCACTATCATGCGCTTTACAGCAAACAAATATATCATTTTGTAGGAGTCCATAATTGTATGGTGTTATTTGTTGACATTTTTGAGTCTTAAGTAATATGATTGATAAAACAGGTATAGTAACAGCTTCTCTCATCAACGTTATAAAAACAGAAAAGGATTAAAAAAAAAAAACAAAAAACAGATTGTGTCCAGAAAATAGCTCTACTTTTTAAAGCTAAAAGATAATTTTCAGGTTTATCCTAAGGATCTTCAAAATCCCTAAAATATATATTTTAAAAAACCCAGCCTTTAAAAGAACACTATTTCCCAAGCAAGTCTAACTGGACACTAAAAATGAATTATAACATATTGTTAACTAATTATATAGATGTGGAGATAAAATGCATTGGAACATAATTACTTCTGATTGGGGATTAGGTGTTGATTGTTGGGAAATAATGTGGTGACGTCAGTTCTTCTTTTATTAAGTTTGGTTTGAGTACATGGATACTTTTCAGGGCTGGTAAATTCAAATACTTGCTGGAGTCAGACAGGAAAACATAAATTATGAAGTGGGCAAAGGATAAGACAGATATAAAGCAGCTTGTATTTTGACCAACCGTAACCTTTGCCTTTCAGTATTCTGTGAAGGGCCAAATAAAACACACTGACAGGCAAAGGTTTGCACCCTCAGCTGTAGATCTTTGATAGTCACTTGAGAGACTTATCTTGTGGCATTTGGCTACTTTGAAGACTTTAGGGTTTACGCTGAGATTCATAAAGGTGGTTTCTAGGTTCTGGTTAGAGTGTGTTTTCTGAAGATGGGATATAGGTTCTCTGTGATAATGCAGGCATTCTTCACTTAATAGCCACTTTCCTAGAACGTAGCCAAGCTTCAAGAAAAAGAAAAAGAAAAGAAAAAGGCCATTGAGAAGCTGCTACAGATGTTAAAGTCCATGTGTGATATGTTCAATAGAAGAATCCACTAGCCTCTCATCTGTTTCCTTATACTTTCTATTTTGTGGCTGTTCATAAAGAGCATATAATTTCAGTAATTTGAAGTGATTTAGAGATGATATACTTTAGTCTCGTGCATTATATAGATGGTTAGGGAATTCTATGGTTATTGGTGGATTTCCTTATTTCTGACATAGGCAATGAAAATGACAAGTGGCTCTTTAAGTGAAGGTACTTCAATTATCTAGAAGTGAGCTGAACAAACTGTAAAGGTCCAGATAATAAACATTTCAGACTCTGTGGGCTACATATGGGTGGTGGTGGTGGTGGTTGTTGTCTTGTTATTGTTGTTTTGCATATTCTTTAAAAATATTTTAAAAAATTTTTGGCTGGGGGCCATAAAAACAAGTCGCTGGTCAGGTTTAGCCCACAGTGTGTAGTTGTTTGCCGCCTGTTCTAGAATGTGGCTGTCCAATAGAACTTTTTGTGGGTGACTACTGAACACTTGAAGTGTGGCTAGTTTACGGAAAAGAATCTTTAATTTAATTTGAATTTAAATAGTCACATATGACTGAGTAGTCGCTACCATATTAGACAGTGTAGATCTAGAAAATTCACTGCGGGATGAATAAAGCCTTATGCTTTAAATTTTTTAGATTGCTTTCATTTATATTTTATTTTAACCACCTATTAATAGGGAATTTTCAGCTTGTGCTTTTCATTTTTCCCTTTTCCAGCTTGCTCTGTTTTCATAATAAAATCTGGTGGAAAGATTTTCCAGAATAGCTTCCTGTCTGACCATACTTTTTCTCCTCATTTCAGTGAGGCTGAACTGGAGGAGGTGTTGACTTTTTATACCCAAAAGAACAAGTCTGCTAGTGTCTTCCTGGGGACTCACTCTAAAATTTCTAAGAACAACAACAATTATTCTGATAGTGGGGCAAAAGGTGGTAAGTATACTGGTTAATGAACGAAAAATAAGAAGAACAAGTGAAGAAATGAGAAATGCAAAGGAGAATGAGGAATAATGTGTTGGCTAAGCACTAATAGTCCCCAAGGTAATGAGACTTTGCAGCTTGGGGAGGGAGTGGAGAATGGGGGACAGTACTTTTTGTCCTAAAAGCAGAAGAAGGGCATGGTCTGATTTTTTTTCAAGATAATTAACAGCAGAGAGATTTTCAAGAAAAGCTAATAATAGCTGATATTTAGTGAACACTTATCTTTCTGTCTGCTGGACATGGTCTTATTTTTTACTTCCCAAAACCATATAGAGTGGGCACTACTACAGAACCTCTTTACAGATGAGAAAATAAGCTAAAAGAGACTGAGTAACTTGCCCAAGGTTATTCTTTATCGTGCAGGGACAAGGAATTTGATACATAGCCTGCCTGACTCAAAGTTTGTGCTCTTAATATATTCTTCTGTCTCTCTTAATGATTATTTCTGACTCTTGTCAAGTTTGTTACTTTCTCTAACTTAACATCATTGGCATTTTGGGCAGGAGAATTCTTTGTCGTGTGGGGCTGTTCCATACCTGGTGGGAAGTCTAATATACTTGGTTCCAAGCCTGACATGCCATTAGCTTCCGCCAGCCATTGTGATAATCCAGAATGCCCCTACATGTTTCTAAAACTTCTTACTGCTGGGGGATTCCATGGTTGGGGATTTTGGAATTGAATATGGATGTGGCTGTCTAGCTCACGTCACCATGATAAAAAAAAATAGCAGTGACATTCTGTTACAAACAAAGCTCTGTGCTTTAAATGTAAAATTAACTTAAAACCTAGATGGAAGCCTAAGGCATAGGTAATCAACCTACTGATGTTGTCAGTGTGCTAAGTACTAGATTCAAAGATGGAGACTTCTTCCCTGCTCTTAAGTTATGATAATCTAATATGGAAATAGCCAGGAAGATTGGTCATTTAAAATGTGGAATGAATTTTCCCAAAGAAACAGTGTTAATCTTTTAAAAACTGATTTGGTTCATAGGCCAATCCACATAAGCCTGTTTAACTCATGGTATGATTGAATTATTGTATTACTGGAAGTCCTGAATCCAGCCCTTTTCTTTGAGTTTTTCTAACTTCATTCACCTGTTCATTCATTCTTTCTATACTTTTTTTTACTTAGCACCTATTATGTGTTAGGCATTTTCATGGTTGCTAGGGATACAATGACCAGGACTGTCACAGTCTTTAACTTTATAAAGTTTATTGTCTGGTAGGTAAAAGTCAGGTGAGTGAATAGAATAAGAAAGCTGGCAGAAGCTCTGAAAAACTCCTATAAGAGTTTTGGCTAAGGGAGACAAAGGAATTCTTGTAATAAGGTTGGAATAGAGAAAAGCGTGCTAATTTGGGGAGGTAGGGGCCTAGATGGACATTCATCTAGTAACTTCTCCCCTGGCAGTAATGTGGAAGCCCTAACAGCATGTGGTGGCGACATCTTTTATACTGATAGGTCATTCAAAATTCTAGGGTTTGTGTTTTAAGGACTACCTTTACATAAGATCCATACCTGTGTAAACTTGTTAAGGATAACTGGCCGGCGGGGGCAGTAGGAAGACGTCAATCAAGGAAACAACATTATGACATTTGATAGTATAGTATCTGGAGTCATTTCAAACATGAACAAACAAGTGTGTGACAGTGTTACCACTGCTATTGGCGATGGAGGGGAGAAAATTCGTATGTCTTTATTCTTTCACTCTGAAAGATGATCTATAAAATGGCCTTTCTTAAGTTTTTGTATGATTCTAGCCCTTGACAAAGATTTTGGAATATTTTTATATATGATTAGCTCTGGCTATTCTGTTTCAAAATTCTGTAGTGGAAAAAATTAGTTATTAATGTCAAAATTGATTAGAGTGATACTATTATTGAATATACTGATCAACCTATCTCCAGTAAAACTGAAGAGTTTAGGCCGGGCATGGTGGCTCACGCCTGTAATCCCAGCACTTTGGGAAGCTGAGGCAGGTGGATCACCTGAGGTCAGAAGTTCAAGACCAGCCTGGTCAACATGGTGAAAGCCTGTCTCTACTAAATATACAAAAATTAGCCGGGTGTGGTGGCAGGCACCTGTAAATCCCAAGTACTCAGGAGGCTGAGGCAGGAGAATCGCTTGAACTGGGAGGCAGAGGTTGCAGTGAGCCAAGATCGCGCAATTGCGCTCCAGCCTAGGCAGCAACAAGAGTGAAACTTTGTTCAAAAAAAAAAAAAAAAAAAAAAAGCTGAGGAGTTTAAGATACAGAGCCATCGTAGTATCCAGGTATTATGCCAAGAAATAGTGGGACCGCTCTTGCTGTCTCGGGGTAGCTTCGCTGCTCCATATATATTGTAACTTCTTGGCTCCAGGGGCTACCACCAACCAGCGTGATCTCTTAGAACCCTCAGTCTGAATTCCTGGCATAAATCTGACTGCCCTTATTATTATTATTATTTTTCCAGATAAGCCCTAGCTTGTTGGCTGTCCGTGGATGGCTGCCCTGGGTTTAGGTACCGTTCGCCAGTTCAGTTAACTGTAGCTGGGATTGGGAATAGCTGGGAATCATTTAATTGGTTGCCTACTCCTTAGGGCTGTGGGTGTCTTCATCTTTGGAAAAGTGTGATGAGACGTGCCATGTTTCCCAGCATTGATTAGCAGTTGTGTTATATTTTTGGGAATAAAATTATGTATAGAACAGCGGACTTGCAATTGATTATAAGAGAGTCCAAGCTCATTATTTCTTATTTCAGATCACCCTGAGACTATAATGGAAGAAGTGAAAATAAAGCCACCTAAACAGCAACAGACGACAGAAATTCATTCTGATAAATTATCTCGTGAGTGATTTCAAACCTACCTAGATTTGCTGCTCTCTGATAATTTCCTAAAAGAAGGAAATAGTCATCAGATATTAAATATTTCTAAAGCATGGAACATTACCCCAAAGAAATATTTTTCTTTTTCCTTTTCCCTTAGAATTTTCTCTTATCTATTGATAAGCTATTTTCCTTCCAAAGACTTTTTCGTTTTCTTAAGTTTAGAAATTCTAAGTGCATTCTTTGTTCCTAGAAGGGTGAAAAGAAGGGGGAGAGGAATTAGCTGTTGCTAGTGGAGACTTCATCTTGATGTCCTAACATGTGTAAGACATGCCTGCTCTGTTTCATAGAGGTAGTCCCAACTCCAGCTTTTAGAAAGGAATAAAAGTAAATTCCTATTTCTGTTGCCAGGTTGTTTCTGGTAGGCAAAAATCATTAAGTTTATGATGAACACTCATTAAAGTCTGTATTTTTCATGATTTCTGTTTCATGCCAAGATTATTGTGATGTTTATGTTTTAAAAATATTTGTTTTATAGAGATTGTATGTTTGTTTTTCCTATAATGATGTCTTGTTTTGTTTTGTTTTTAATAGGATTTACCACTTCAGCAGAAAAAGAGGCAAAATTAGTTTATAGCAATTCCTCCTCTGGTCCTACTGCTACTCTGCAGAAAATTCCCAACACCCATTTGTCATCTGTTACAACCTCTGACCTCTCTCCAGGGCCTTGCCACCATTCTTCTTTATCTCAAATTCCTTCAGCTATCCCCAGCATGCCTCACCAGCCAACAATTTTACTGAACACAGTCTCTGCCAGTGCTTCTCCCTGCCTACATCCCGGGGCACAGAACATCCCAAGCCCTACTGGCCTGCCACGCTGTCGATCAGGAAGTCACACCATTGGTCCCTTTTCTTCCTTCCAAAGTGCTGCACACATCTATAGCCAGAAACTGTCTCGTCCCTCTTCAGCAAAGGCAGGTGAGTGAGAGAACGAAAGACAGTCCACAATGTGAGCTCCTCCCCAGCCCCAATAAAGAAAGGATGTCATCTCTTCCCTTTGCCTTTTTTTAAATTTTGAAATGGAAATGGACACACACTGCATTGTTCTGACGTGACTAAAGAAGACTTTTGCATTGCATCCAGTAGCATGCCTTCATTGACACAAAGGGAAACAGGACTTCTTTTAGGTACTGGAGATAAAGAGATGAATCTGACAAGGCTTCTGTTCACTAGGAGCCTACAGCCTAGTCAAGAGATTTCCTGTCACAGATAACCATCTATGAGTGTGCTATATGCATTCTCTGTGCTTCAAATAGTTATTCCCAACATCAGACAAGTTAGTTTTTAGGCAAGAATGACCTGAATAAATAACCAAAGAATTCTTAGAATAGGTTATATCATTTTAACTGAAATAGACCTATAGTGTCAAGTTTGTCCTCCATTTTTTAATAACAGCTTTATTGAGATATAATTTACATTCTATCAAATTCACCCTTTTAAAATGTACAATTCAGTAATTCAGTGGTTATATATATATCTATCTTCACAGACTTGTACATTCGACACCAGTATCTAATTTTAGAACATTTTCATCATCTCCAAAAGAAACCCCATACCTGTTAGCAGCCACGGTCTGTTTCTTCCTCCCCCAAGCCCCTGGCAACCACTGATCTACTTCTCTGTTTTTACAGATTTGTCTATTCTGGACATTTTTATATAAGTAAAATCATATAATAGGTAGTCTTTTGTGAATGGCTGCTTTCTATTCTGGACATTGTATATAAGTAAAATCATAATAGGTGGTCTTTTGTGAATGGCTGCTTTCACTTAGCATAATGTTTTTCAGGTTCATCCACGTTGTAGTAGGAACTTCATTCCCTTTATGGCTGAATAATATTCCATTGTATGGATATACCACAATTTGTTTAGCCATTAGTTGAGGGGCATTTGATTTGTTTATACCTTTTGGCCATTATGAATAATGCTGCTATGAACATTTGTTTGTAAGTTTTCGTGTGGACATATGTTTTTATTTCTCTTGAGTGTATAGCTAGAGTGGAATTGTTGGTTCATATGATAACTTTTTGTATTTCCTCTTTTTGAGGAACTTCTAAACTGTTTTCCAAAGTCGCTGTGCCCTTTTACTAACAGCAATGTTTGAGGGTTCCAGTTTCTCCCTGTCCTTGCCAAAACTATGAGTTGTCTCTGTTTTTGATTTTCACATCCTAATGGGTATGAAATAGTATCTCTTTTTTGTGGTTATGATTTGCATTTCCCTAATGGCTAATGATGTTGAATATCTTTTCATTTGCTTATTGGATTTTTGTATATCTTCTTTGGAGGAATGTCTATTTAAATTATTTGCCCTTTTTAAAATTCATATGTTTTCCTTTTTATTGTTGAATGTAAATGTTCTTTATATACTCTAGATAAAAACCCTTTGTCAGATAGGATTTATAAATATTTTTTCCCTACTTGATGGTTATCTTTTCACTTTCTTGAAGCACAAAAGTTTTAGATTTTAATGATGTCCAGTTTATCTGTTTTTTTTCTATTGTCACTTGTGCTTTTGGTATCATGTCTGGAATACTGTTGCCTAATCAAGTGTCACAGAGATTTCCTCCTTTTTTTTTTTTTTTTTTTTTTTGAGACGGATTGTTGCTGTGCCGCCAGGCTGGAGTGCAGTGGCACGATCTCGGCCCACTGCATCTTCCACCTCCAGGTTCAAGCGATTCTCTTGCCTCAGCCTCCCGAGTAGTTGGGACTACAGGCACATGCCACCATGCTCAGCTAATTTTTGTAGTTTTAGTAGAGGTGGGGTTTCACCATGTTGGCCAGGATGGTCTCGATCTCTTGACCTTGTGATCCACCCACCTTGGCCTCCCCAAAGTGCTGGGATTACAGGCGTGAGCCACTGCGCCCGGCCCCTCCTATGTTTTATAGTTTAGACTCTTACATTTAGGTCTTTTGTCCATTTTCAGTTAATTGTCCTGCATGGTATGATGTAGGGGTCTAACTTCATTCTTCTGCATGTGGATATTCAGTTAAATCAGCATCATTTGTGGAAAAGAGTATTGTTTCCCCATGGGATTGTCTTGGCACTCTTCTCAAAAATCAATTAATTATAAATGTAAAAGTTTATTTTTAAGGCCTCAGTTTTATTCCATTGATCTATATGTCTGACCTTATGCCAATATCACATTGTCTTGATTGCTACAGCATTATAGTAAGTTTTGAAATCACCAAGGATGATTGTTCCAACTTCACTCTTCTTTTTCAAGATTGTTTAGGCTGTTCTGGATCCCTTGCATTTTCATATGAATTTTAGGATCAGCTTGTCAATTTCCTCAAGAAAAGGCAGATGGGATTTTGATAGGATTATTATCTGTGGATCAGTTTGGGGACTATCTTAACATCAGTCAAGATTTAAACACTAGTAATAGCTATGTTAAGGTGAGTTACAGCTAAGACATGTTTTATAAATAGCCAGTCTATATTTCTTAATACCTGTTTTCAAATGAAATGGATATTTTAATATGCAGCTTGAGTCAGAGATATTAAATGGTCCACTTTAATAAGTCATAAATATGAATATATACATATGTATATATCTGCTAATTCTGGGTGATCTTGTTCTTGTGATTTAATTTTCTAAAATCGGTAATAATAATGATCAATAATGTTCTAGTTTGAACTATTTTTTCCCCATGTAAGAAATTCAGTAAGATGAATGTCTTCAGTGGCCTGTGTTATCATAAAAACTTTTTCAAAACCCTCCCTTTTGATCCTTTCCAAGAGAATGATAGTGAACAAAAGAAGTTGGTGAGTTCATAAATATTTTCTGATATCTATTGTGATTTCTTTTTTGACTCTTGGATTATTTATAAATATATTGTTTAATTTTCAGGTAGTTGGGATTCTTTATTTTTGTAATTGGTTTTTAGCTTATTTCCACTGTGGTCAGAGAACATAATCTGAATGGATTAAACAGTAGTAGATGACAATATGCGGACAAAAATATATAATTGACAACAGCCTGTAATTGATTGGAGTTAAATTTTTCTGTGGTAATTGAGTGATTTTGGAATAGGAGTAAGATTTTATTTAACTCTATAGACTTTTTAAAGTTAAATATACAGCATCAAATTTCAAAGGTCATCACTAAAAGAATAAAAGTATAAATTCTAATGGGGAGAAGAAAAATGAATTGTGGATAAAAAACATGCAGAAACTTAGGTGTATGCAAGCAAGAAGCATAGAAAAAGCAAGATAAATAGAAATTTAAAACATAGTAAATTGGCCGGGCACAGCGTCTTATGCCTATAATCCCAGCACTTTCGGAGGCCGAGTTAGGCAGATCGCTTGAGGTTAGGAGTTCAAGACCAGCCTGGCCAACATGGTAAAACCCAATCTCTACTGAAAATACAAAAATTAGCCAGGCATGGTGGCGCTGGCCTGTAGTCCCAGCTACTCAGGAGGTTGAGGCAAGAGAATTGCTTGAACCCGGGAGGCAGAGGTTGAAGTGAGCCAAGATCACACCACTGCACTCCAGCCTGGGCACAGAGCAAGACTCCATCTCAAACAACAAAACAAAACAAAAAACATTGTAAATCAAGTCCAAATATATCAAGAAGCAAATAAACATAAATAGGTTAAACTTGACAGATTTTTAAAGTTTAAAAAAATCCAACTATATGCTGTTTACCAGAGGCACACCTAAGTTTCAGGACACAGAACGTTTAAAAGTAAAAAATTGAAAAAAGAAATACGAGATGAGTACTAACCAGAAGAAAGTTGGTATGGTTGCATTAATATATGCTGAAATAGGCTTGAAGATATAAAACTTTCTTACAGATAAAGAGTAACTACATAATGACAAAAGGTTCAGTTCAGTCAAAAGTTAAACAATTCTAAAAGTGTCTGCACCTCATAAAATAGCCTCCAAATATGTAACACAAAAATGGAAACAACCACATGAAGAATGTATAAATCCACTATCTTAGTGGGTGATTTCCACATACTTCTATTAATTATTAATACACTAAACAGATTTTTAAAATGCAGAAAGGATAAAGAGGATTTGAACAAGATGATAAGATTATTTATTGATAATATATAGGACCGTGTACCCAATAATTAGACAAAACGCCTCAAGCGTACATGATATATTTATAAAAATCTGTCATACCCTACATCATAAACAAGAGAACAAATTGCAGAGACTTGGTATCACACAGCCACATTCTTTGTCCACATTGCAATTAAGTTGAAAGTCAGTAACAAAAAGATATAGAAGAAACCCCCATGTATTTCAAAATTTAAGAGTCAAAGAAGAAATCCTGATGGAAGTAAATTATTAAGTTTTAGAACTGAATGATAATGAAAAAGCTGTATGTCCAAATAAGTAGAGAGCAATGCAAGTCAGTATTTGAAGGGAAATTTACTGGCTTAAATAATTATAGTTGGTGTGCACCTGTAGTCCAAGCTCCCTAGGAGGCTGAGGTGGGAGGATTGCTTGAGCGCAGGAGTTCGAGACCAGTCTGGGCAACATAGCGAGATCCCATCTCTAAAAATAAATAAATAAATAAGTAAATAAGTAAATAAAAACTTATATTTGAAAAGAAGACAGGCTGGAAATTAATGTGCTAAATGTCTGGCTTTAGACATTATAAAAACAACAGTATCATAAATCTAAATAAAGGATAAAGAAATATAAAGATAAGAGCAATAATTATAGAATTCAAAAATAAGGCACAGTAGAGGGTGGCAAAGCCAAAAGTGATTTTTTGAAAAGCCTAATAAAATGGACAAACCTCTGATGACACCTATCAAGAAAAAAGAGAAGACATGGATAAATAATATAAGGAGTAGAAAAGCAGACATAGAAAATATAAATACACCCAAAATGACAAAAATAATGTAATCTTAACTTTATTCCAATAAAATTGAAAGCTTACATAAAATGGACCAAACTCATACAAACTATAACTTATGTAAAAATGACTCAAGAAGATGAAGAAAGTCTGAATAGTCCTATAAGTATTTTAAAAAGTGATACAGTAGTTGAAAGTCTTAAAGAAAACATAAGGCCTAGATTTATGGGTAAGTTCTAATCTTTCAAAAGGTAGATAATTTCAATATATTTTTAAAAAAACTCTTCTGGAGTGTGGAAAAAGAGAATTTTCCTCAACTTATTCTGTATGGCTAGTTTTATCTTAATAATACAAACAGTTAAGGACAGTATTAAAAAGGAAAATTACAGACTGGCTTTATTTATTAACACAAATGCAAAAATTTGAATCAAAATAAAAGCCAATCAACTCTAGCAACATCTAAAAGAGGTAGTACACCATGAGCAAGTTTATTCAAGGAATGTAAGAGGGGTTTAACATTAGTAAACCTATAAATATCATTTGCCATGTAAATATAATAAAGAAAAAACCATATTCTTCATCATGGTACATGCAGAAAAAGAATTCGATAAAATTCTGCACTCATTCATGATGATAACTCTCAGCTCATTAGGAAGAGAAGGAGATTCTCTTAAAAAAAGGGTATTTGCCAAAAACCTGCAAGAGCTATCAGCCTAAATACGGAAATGTTGAAAGCATTCTCTTTAACATTGAGAACAAGTAAGGATGCCCATTAACATTCCTTCTGTCCAGTGTTTTACTGGAGATCAGAACCAACATAGTAAGATAAGAAAAAGAAATTATAAGCATAAGGATCATCCCTTCTTAGCCTTTTGGCTAAGATCAAGTATAAGCATAAGGATCAAAAAAGAGGAAACAAAATTGTGTAATTGCAGATAATATATTGTCTACATAGAAAACAAAGTAATTACAGATACATTTTAGAAATAGTTATTTTAGCATAAGATCAATATTTAAAAATTAATTGCTTTCAAAATTACTTGCCAGAAGTGACAGAAAACAATTTTTTGATTGTAGCAAAATATAAATAACATAAAATTTAACATTGAACTATTTTAAATTCAGTGGCATTCAGTACAGTCACACTTTTGCAGCCATCACCACCAATAAAAATGTTTTTAAAAATATCACTAATAATAGCATAAAAACTGTGTTACCTAGGAATACATTTAGAAAGGAAAGGAAGTTTTATAAGACTACATTGAAAGACACAGATATTAGACATTAACAAAAATTTAAATAAATGGATAAATATACCACGTACATGCATAGGAAGACTCAATATCATCAAAGTTTCCATTTTCATCACATTGATCTCTGTATTCAATACGGTTCCAATCAAAATCTCAACAAGTGTGTCATTGGATTTTTTAAGCCTATTCTAAAATGATAATAGAAAGGCAAAGAGCCAAGAATAGTGAGAACCTACTGAAGAAGAAAAATAAGGTGGAGGAGCACCTTATTAATATAAAGGTCTGATACTTAAGACAGTGTGGTATTGGCAAATGTGTAGACAGATTGACCAGTGGAACAGAATAGAAAGTTAGAAACAGTCACACAAGAAGATGGAAATTTCATGTATGACAGAGATGGCATTGTAGATCAGAAGAAAGGGAGAGATGTCTCAATAAATGCTTCTGGGGTAATTGTTATCCCCACAGAGAAAGATGAAATTAGATCCCTGCCTCACACCATGTATAAAATCAATTTCAGTTGTAAAACTTCCATACTGAAATAAAATAATAAAATAAAGGAGACCATCATTAAGAACTTGTGGTATGGAGCAAAAGTAAAAACAAAAACACAAATCGTGTAAGTCAATAAGAAAAAGATAGCCCAATAGAAAAATGATACCAGAAAAGAGGTAGCATGTTCAACATCATCATTAATCAGGTACATGAAGACTACAATGGGAAGAATTAAGACACTTGACAATACTAAGTGTTGAAGAGGCTATGGATCAACAGGAATTTTCTTTCTTTTTTTCTTTTTTTTTTTTAATTTGAGACAGGGTCTCACTCTGTCACCCAGGCTGGAGTTTAGTGGTGCAATCATGGCTCACTGCAGCCTTGACCTCCCAGGGCTTAAGCAATCCTCACACCTCAGCCTCCTGAGTAACTGGGACTACAGGCCCATGTCCCCACACCCAGCTAAGTTTTTGTAGAGAAGAGATCTCACTTTGTTGCCTAATCTGGTCTCGAACTTCTGTGCTAAAGTGGCCCTCCTGCCTCAGCCTCCCAAAGTGCTGGGATTACAGGTGTGAGCCACCATTCCCGGCCCAGGAACTTTTTTATTTTGTTTGTTGGAGTGTAAAAAAATACCATTTTGGGGCCGGGTGCGGTGGCTCACGCTTGTAATCCCAGCACTTTGGGAGGCCAAGGCAGACGGATCACGAGGTCAGGAGATCAAGACCATCCTGGCTAACACGGTGAAACCCCATCTCTACTAAAAAAAAAAAAAAAAAAGAAAAATTACCCGGGCCTGGTGGCGGGTGCCTGTAGTCCCAGCTACTCGGGAGGCTGAGGCGGGAGATTGGCGTGAACCTGGGAGGCGGAGCTTGCAGTGAGCCAAGATCGCGCCACTGCGCTTCAGCCTGGGTGACAGAGCAAGACTCTGTCTCAAAAAAAAAAAAAAAAAAATACCACTTTGGTATTACTACATAAACTTGAAAATTTACATACTTTGTGACCCAACAATTCCACTCCTGGGCATATACAAGAGGAGCTTTTCTATACGTGTGCCAGCAGATGTATGCAAGGGTGTTTATGGCTGCGTTGTTTATAATGGCAATATGCTTGAAATAACCACAATACCCATTGATAGGGGAATAGAAATATAAGTTGTGGTGTATTTATAAAATGGAATGCCAGACAGCAAGGAAAATGAATGACTTTCAGCTGTATTTATCTAGGATTAATCTTGGAAGAGTAGAGTTGAATAACAGAGCAAGTCCCAGGAAATATCTATATTAGGATACCATTTTTGTAGATCTCAAAAACGAGCAAAATTATCTGGTATTTTGTTTGTATATGCATATACACACAAATATATTTGATAAAACTTTTTTTTTTAAAAGAATGTTTGATAAGGGGAGATTAGGAATGGGGAGGAACAACCACATAGGTTAGTACATATTGTTGATAATGTAATTCCTGGGTTGGGTAGTGAGTTCACAGGTGTTCATTACAGTATGCATATAACTACATATACAGCTATTATAAATATTTTGTATGTACTAAATAATATAGTAAACGTGAAAAAGTTACAGATTCAGAAAATCAGTTGTATATGCAGAATGATCATTGTTATATTAGCATTAATTTTAAAAAGACAGGAAATAGGTTATATTATTTCTACTTTTCTGAGTTTAAAGATTTTTTTTGAAGAGATGTGACTTTTACAATCAGGAAAAATGTGAATTTTTATTTTATTTTATTTTTAGAGACAGGTTCTCTTTCTGTCACACAGGCTGGAGTGCAGTGGCATGATCATAGCTCACTGTAACCTTGAACTCCTGGGCTTAAGCAATCCTCCTGCCTCAGCCTCCCAAGTAGCTGGGACTATAAGCATGAGCCACTGTGCTCAGCTGAATCTTGATTTTATATTAAATAATTTCTTTTTGCCAGAATTTCAGTGCTTAAATAATAGAATGCTCTGATATTACAGTTGAAAGAAGAAAATTTAAATCTGAAAGGGAAATCAGTCATTTGAAAATATACACACACTGGGGCCTATCATGGGGTGGGGGGAGGGGGGAGGGATAGCATTAGGAGATATACCTAATGTAAATGACGAGTTAATGGGTGCAGCACACCAACATGGCACATGTATACATATGTAACAAACCTGCACGTTGTGCACATGTACCCTAGAACTTAAAGTATAATAATAATAAAAAAGAAAACATGTTTTGACTAAAAATATAAAAAAAAAAAGAAAATATAAGATTATTGTTATTTTTCTGAGTATACTCGATTTTGTTTTTATCCCTGTTTCCCTTTTGAGCTTTCTAAGTATTATGGATGATTTGACAGTGGATGCCACAGACTGTTGACAAGTACAGTTACATAACAAGAAAAACAAGAATTATAATGAGTTTCAAATATGTATTTTTTATTCAGTAAGATTAGCAAATTATAGGATTGGTATTCCCCACTACATATAATGAAAATTCTTCTTTGTGAAGCTTTCATTATAAGCAAAAACATATTAATAAATAATGCATGTGGCAGTTTGGTAATAGGAAGAGTTTCTAGGTTATGGTAACCATTTATTTTTGTGATCATTTGAAGATAGTTTATTTCTCCTATATTATTAAAGATCCTTAGGGTTCAGTAAAGTATCTGTTGACCTGAGATTTCTGTCATTATCCTAATTTTTTTCAGGCCTTTTTTTCCTAAATGAGTGAAAACTTTTCTCCGTTTTAGCAGGATCGTGCTATCTAAACAAGCATCATTCAGGAATAGCCAAAACACAAAAAGAGGGAGAAGATGCTTCTTTATATAGCAAACGGTACAACCAAAGTATGGTTACAGCTGAACTTCAGCGGCTAGCTGAGAAGCAGGCAGCGAGACAGTATTCTCCATCCAGCCACATCAACCTCCTCACCCAACAGGTACGGATGGTCTGGGGTGTCCAAGAGCTCTTTGGACCTGAGGATAGAATTAATGACAGGGTACTTTGTCTTTCCCTGTCTTTACTATTCCCATATACTGATGCCTCTTGAATGAGTATTATTAATAGTTGGTTTCAAGCTAAATTATCAAGTTTTTCCTCTTCAAATTTAAAGAAAATAACTTTCTGTTACAGGCATTGTGAAGTAAGTCTGCTACTGGATATGATGTACCTATTTCATGGATAAACAGACTTGAATGTTCATCTGTAAATATAATTTTAAAGGATCTTTAAAAATAAGTTCTTTTCTTTGGTAAAATTTTCCAGTGAGTTCTAGTCTTATAAATCTTTTTACCAGAATTTTATAACATTACCCTTTAAAAAAATTTTTTTCTATACTGCCTCTTATTTCATGATCTCAGGATGTTTTATGGGTAACTGATTAATTTCATATTTCATTATACCCTTATCCAATATAATATCATTCTCCCCATTTTACAGATGGGGGAACCTGAGGCTGAAATAAGTGATGTGATCAAGGTCATTCAACAAGCTGGGTGGATAGAAATAAATAACAGGATATTGTCCTTATGCTATATAGATATTAACAATCTTGCAACACAGTGAAGGTAGATGACACTTTCAAGAGCTTTGTGAATTCTCTTTGTCCTTCTTGCTGGTTATCCCTATGGTGTTTAATTGAAGGAAAAGCCATATCTCTTATTCCTTAATGTTAAATGGCATCAAAGTCCTCCAAAGGAATTATCATAATTTAACTCCACAGTTATATTTTGCTATGTTGCTGATGTGCCAAATTCCTTAATTGGTAGTAACTCTGTAGTGATAATCAAGTCTCGAAAAAAGTGAAGCTGAAAATTACTTTAAGTACATGCTAAAAGTAGGCAACACACTGCTCCCTGGTGGTACCCTACTTATCTGTATAAAATTTAGGACCAAAACTAAAGCTAAGCCTCTCATGGAATTAGTTTTACTTCAGCCTCATCCCAGCGTGTGAAGCAGTAATTATTTTCTTTCTCAAATCCTTAGTTGTTTGAAGGGAGTAAATAAGAAGGCCTAATGTGAAATAGGAAGCAAAGAATATTATAAGAACAATGTTGATTCTTGGAGGGAGTTGGGTAGTTAGATTTTAGTGATAGAATTATGGGAAGAGGGAATAGGATACTAAGATATGATGGGAAGGAATTTTCAAATTAAATAAGTGGCTATGAGACGGGAAAGGCCAGTGCTCTGCTACACTTTTATCATTGGGTCACTAACTAGATTATATGTTTCCGGTTTATAAATGGGCAGCTAGAAGCACCAAGACATTGAGATTTTGTGATTGTAGTAAAAAAAAAAAAAAAATACCCAAAATAGCCAATATTAGTGCTTACCTATCTAGCTCCTATCGTTCACTAGACTGCAAAGCCTACAAAGTGAAAAGATCCTAATCCTGTAGGAATCCAAGGTGACTGTATCCTGATTGGGAAGTCATCCCCCTTCAGTTCATTTTTTTCGTCTATAAAGAACTTCAGTGCCAGCGAATTAAAAGTCCATTAGACTATGGTTTGTAGGGATCTGAACTTGCCATTAGATGTCAGTGTTAACTTTTAGAGTCTTGGTAATAGGGTGGTCAGTACTGAGGGAGGTGCTGTAGGATGTAATAAGCAGGATGGAGTAGTGGAGAAAGAGCTAGATTAGCCATCCAGAGACTTGCCACTGACTCCTGTGTGATCTTGAGCAGTTCACTCCATTGTTATTCTGACACTGACTCCTGTATGATCTTTGGCAGTTCATGCCACTGTTCTGTCACTGATTAGCTATGTGATCTTGGACAGTTCACTCTACTCTTCTGACACTGACTAGCTGTGTGATCTTGGGCAGTTCACCCCACTGTTCTCCTGCCACTGACTCCTGTGTGATATTGGGCAGTTAATTCCATTGTTCTGACACTGACTAGCTGTGTGATCTTGGACAGTTCATTCTACTCTTCTGACACTGACTAGCTGTGTGATCTTGGACAGTTCACTCTACTGTTCTCCTGCCACTGACTAGCTGTGTGATCTTGAGCAGTTCACTCAACTTCTCTTAACCTCAGGGTCTTCACTGATTGATGAGGAAAATACAACAGGGTCATGAGGATATTATGCAAAACCTCTAAATGCAATATATGTGGAAAATATTGTTATTTCAGCCATAAAAGGCTTTCAATAGTAAATGGCTTCTAATTTGGTTAGAAACAAGTTTTTAGATAAAGTGTACTTTTTAGTAGTTTTTCAAAAATTATTGTGGGTACATAGGTGTATATATTTATGGGGTACATACGATTTTTTTTATTTCAGTAGGTTTTTGGGGGAACAGGTGGTGTTTGGTTACATGGATAAGCTCTCTAGTGGTGATTTCCAAGATTTTGGTGCACCTATCACCCAAGTAGTGTACACTGTACCCAATGTGCAGTCTTTTATTCTTCACCCTCCTTCCACCCTTCCCCCCAAGTCCCCAAAGTCCATTATATAATCCTTGTACCTTTGTGTCCTCATAGCTTAGCTCCTACTTATAAGTGAGAACATATGATGTCTGGTTTTCCATTCCTGAGTTACTTCACTTAGAATAATGGTCTCCAGCTCCCTCCAGGTTGCTGCGAATACCATTATTTTGTTCCTTTTTATGGATGAGTAGTAGTCCATGGTGTATATATATACACACCACATTTTCTTTATCTACTCATTGATTGATAGACATTTGGGCTGGTTCCATATTTTTGCAATTGCAAATTGTGTTGCTATAAATATGCATGTGCAAGTATCTTTTTCATATAATGACTTCTTTTCCTCTGGGTAGATACCCAGTAGTGGGATTACTGGATCAAATGGTAGATCTACTTTTAGTTCTTTAAGGAATCTCCATAGTGTTTTCCATAATGGTTGTACTAGTTTACATTCCCACCAACAGTGTAAAAGTGTTCCCTTTTCACCTCTTCCATGCCAACATCTATTATTTTTTGACTTTTTAATTATAGCCATTCTTGCAGGAGTAAGGTAGTATTGCATTGTGGTTTTGATTTGCATTTCCCTGATAATAAGTGATGTTGAGCATTTTCTCATATGTTTGTTGGATATTTGTATATCTTCTTTTGAGAATTGTCTATTCATGTCCTTAGCCTTTTTGATGGAATTATTTTTTTCTTGCTGATTTGTTTGAGTTCCTTGTAGATTCTGGCTATTAGTCCTTTGTTGGATGCATAGTTTGTGAAGATTTTCTCCCACTGTGTGGGTTGTCTGTTTCCTTGCTGATTATTTCTTTTGCCTGCAGAAGCTTTTTAGTTTAATTAAATTCTATCTATTTATCTTTGTTTTTGTTGCATTTGCTTTTGGGGTCTTGGCCATGAAGTCTTTGCCTAAGCCAGTGTCTAGAAGGGTTTTTCTGATGTTATCTTCTAGAATTTTTATGGTTTCAGGTCTTAGATTTAAGTCTTTCATCTATCTTGAGTTGATTTTTGTGTAAGGTGAGAGATGAGGATCCAGTTTCATTCTTCTACATGTGGCTTGCCAGTTATGCTAGCACCATTTGTTGAATAGGGTGTCCTTTCCCCAGGTTATGTTTTTTGTTTGCTTTGTCAAAGATCAGTTGGCTGTTAAGTATTTGACTTTATTTCTGGGTTTTCTATTCTGTTCTATTGGTCTATGTGCCTATTTTTATACCAGTACCATGCTGTTTTGGTAACTATATCCTTTTAGTATAGTTTGAATTTGGGTAATGTGATGCCTCTAGATTTGTTCTTTTTGCTTAGTTGTGTTTTGGCTATGCAGGCTCTTTTTTGGTTCCATATGAATTTCAGGATTGTTTTTTCTAGTTCTGTGAAGAATGATGATGGTATTAAATTGCACTGAATTTGTAGATTGCTTTTGGCAGTGTGGTCATTTTCACAATATTGATTCTACCCATCCATGAGCATGGGATGTGTTTCCATTTGTTTGTGTCATCTGTGATTCCTTTCAGCAGTGTTTTGTAGTTTTCCTTGTAGAGGTCTTTCACGTCCTTGGTTAGGTATATCCGTAAGTATTTTATTTTATTTTTTGCAGCTGTTGTAAAAGGGGTTAAATTCTTGATGTGATTCTCAGCTTGGCGGCAGTTGGTGTATAGCAGTGCTACTGATTTGTGTACATTGATTTTGTATCCTGAAACTTTACTGAATTTATTTATTAGATCTAGGAGCTTTTTGGGTGAACCTTTATGGTTTTCTAGGTATATGATCATATTGGCAAACAGCAACAGTTTGACTTCCTCTTTAATGATTTGAATGCCCTTATTTCTCTTGTCTGATTGCTTTGGCTAGGACTTCCAGAACTATGTTGAATAGAAGTGGTGAAATGGGCATTCTTGTCTTGTTCCAGTTTTCAAGGGGAATATATTCAACTTTTCTACTTTTGGTATAATGTTGGTTGTGGGTTTGTCATAGATGGCTTTTATTACCTTAAGGTATGTCCATTTTATGCCAATTTTGTTGAGGGTTTTAATCATGAAGAGATGCTGGATTTTGTCAGATGCTTTTTCTGTGTCTGTTGAGATTACCATGTGATTTTTGTCTTTGATTCTGTTTATGTGGTATATCACATTTATTGACTTGCGTATGTTAAACCATGCCCGCATCCCTGGTATGAAACTCACTTGATGAAGGTGGATTATCTTTTTGATATGCTGTTGGATTAGGTTAGTGGCAGAAACTGCAATTACTTGTGTAACAACCTAGAATTTTGTTGGGGATTTTTGCATCTGTATTCATCAGAGATATTGGTCTGTAGTTTTCTTTTTTTGTTAATGTCCTTTCCTGGGTTTGGTATTAGGGTGTTACTGGCTTTATAGAATTATTTAGGGAGGATTCTCTTTTTCTCTGTCTTTTGGAATAGTTTCAATAAGATTCGTCTAATTCTTCTTGAATGCCTGATGGAATTCAGCTGTGAATCCATCTGGTCCTGGACTTCTTTTTATTGGCAATTTTTAAATTGCCATTTCAATATTGCTGCTTGCTGTTATCTGTTCAGAGTTTTTATTTATTCCTGGTTTAATCTAGAAGGGTTGTATATTTCCAGGAATTTATCCGTCTCCTCTAGGTTTTCTAGTTTGTGCACGTAAAGGTGTTCATAGTAGCCTTGAGTTATCTTTTGTATTTCTGTGGTGTTGGTTGTACTATCTCTTGCTTCCCTTCTAATTGAGTTTATTTGGATCTTCTCTCTTCTTTTCTTCTTCTCTTCTAATCTTGCTAGTGGTCTGTCAATTTTGTTTATTTATTTTTTTTTCAAAGAACCAGATTTTTGTTTCATTTATCTTTTGTATTGGGTTTTTTTGTTTGTATCAATTTTATTTAGTTATGCTCTGATCTTTGTTATTTCTTTTCTTCTGCTGGATTTCAGTTTGGTTTGTTCTTGTTTCTCTAGTTCTCTGAGATGTGACCTTAGATTGTCTATTTGAGCTCTTTCAGGCTTTTTGATGTAGGCATTTAAAGCTATGAACTTTCGTCTTAGCACCGCTTTTGCTGTATCCCAGAGATTTTGATAGGTTGTGTCACTGTTATCATTCAGCTCAAGGAATTTTTACATTTCCATATTGATTTCATTGTTGACCCAATGACCATTCAGGAGCAGACTATTTAATTTCCATGTACTTGCATGGTGTTGAGGGTTCCTTTTGGAGTTGATTTCCAGTTTTATTACATTGTGGTCTGAGAGAATACTTGATATAATTTTGATTTTCTTAAGTTTGTTGAGACTCGTTTTGTGGCCTATCTTGTGGTCTATCTTGGAGAATATTTCATGTGCTGATGAATAGAATGTGTATTCTGCAGTTGCTGGGTAGAATGTTCTGTAAATATCCGTTAACTCCATTTGTTCTAGGGTATGGTTTATGTCTGTTGTCTCTTTGTTGACTTTCTGTGTTGATGACCTGCCTAGTGCTGTCAGTGGAGTATTGAAGTTTCCCACTATTATTGTGTTGTTGTCTATCTCATTTCTTAGGTCTAGTAGTAATTGTTTTATGAATTTGGGAGCTCCAGTGTTAGGCGCATATGTATTTAGGATTGTGATATTTTCCTATTGGACTAGTCCTTTTATCATTACGTAATGTCCCTCTTTGTCTCTTTAAACTGTTATTGCTTTGAATCTTTAAAGTTTGCTTTGTCTGATGTAAGAATAGCTACTTCTGCTCACTTCCGTTATCCATTTGCATGGAATATCTTTTTTCACTCCCTTACCTTAAGTTTATGTGAGTTTATGTGTTAGATGAGTTTCCTGAACTTATATGTTAGTTGAGTTTCTTGAAGACAGCAGATTTTGTATCTTTTAAGGGGAACATTTAGGCCATTTACATTCAACATTATTATTGAGATGTGAGGCACTATTCTGTTCATCATGCTAGTTGTTGCCTGAATACCTGGTGATTTTTGCATTGTGTTATTGTTTTATAGGCCCTGTAGGATTTGTGCTTTATGGAGGTTCTATTTTGGTGTATTTCGAGGTTTTGTCTCAAGATTTAGAACTTTCTTTAGCAGTTTGTGTAGTGCTGGCTTGGTAGTGGCTAATTCTCTCAGCATTTGTTTGTCTGAAAAAGACTATCTTTCCTTCATTTATGAAGCTTCGTTTCACTGGATACAAGATTGTTGGCTGATAATTGTTTTGTTTAAGGAGGCTAAACATAGGACCCCACTCCCTTCTAGCTTTTAGGGTTTCTGCTGAGAAATCTGGTGTTAATCTAATAGGTTTTCCTTTATAGGTTACCTCATGCTTTTGCCTATAGCTCTTAAGAGTCTTTCCTTTGTCTTGACTTTAGATAACCTGATGACTATGTGTCTAAGTGATTATCTTTTTGCGATGAATTTCCCAGGTGTTCTTTGAGCTTCTCCTGTTTGGATGTCTCGATCTTTGGCAAGGCCAGGGAAGTTCTCCTCGATTATTCCCCCAAATAAGTTTTCCAAACTTTTAGATTTCTCTTCTTCCTCGGGAACACCAGTTATTCTTAGGTTTGGTCGTTTAACATAATCCCAAACTTCTTGGAGGCTTTGTTCATTTTTGGGGATGCCTTTTTCTTTGTCTTTGTTGGATTGGGTTAATCAAAAGCCTTGTCTTCGAGCTCTGAAGTTCTTTCTTCTACTTTTTTGATTCTATTGTTGAAACTTTCCAGTGTATTTTGCATCTCTTTAAGTGTGTCTTTTATTTCCAGGAGTTATGATTGTTTTTTATCGATGCTCTCTATTTCCCTGGAGATTTTTTGGTCCATGTCCTGTATTATTATTATTTTTTTAGTTTCTTTAAATTGGTTTCCACCTTTCCCTGGTGCCTCCTTAAATAGGTAAATAATCGACCTTTTGAGTTCTTTTTCTGGCAACTTAGAAATTTCTTCTTTGGATCCGTTGCTAGTGAGCTAGTGTGATCTTTTGGGAGTGTTAAAGAACCTTGCCTTGTCATATTACCAGAATTGTTTTTCCGGTTCCTTCTCATCTGGGTAGTCTGTATCAGAGGGTCTGGGTTGAAGGGCTGCTGTTCAGATTCTTTTGTCCCACTGGTTGGTTCCTTGATGTGGTGTTCTCTTCTTCCCCTAGTAGGGATGGGGCTTCCTGAGAGCCAAACTGCAGTGATTGTTACTGCCCTTCTGGGTCTAGCCCCCCAGCAGAGCTGCTGGGCTCTGGGCTGGTACTGGCAAGTTTCTGTGAAGAGTCCTGTGATGTGATCCATCTTCAGGTCTCTCAGCCATGGATACCAGCACCTGATCTGGTGGAGGTAGCAGGGGAGTGAGCTCTGTGGACTCTGTGAGGGTCCTTTGTTGTAGTTTTGTTCAGTGAGCTGGTTTTCTTGAGCGCTGGTTGTGCTAGTGGTTTTTTGACCTCCAGCCAGGAGGTGGCGCTTTCAAGAGAGCATCAGCTGATACAAGCTTGCCCTAAGGTCGCCTTGGTTAAGTATTTGAGTGTCTCAGGTGGTGGGCGGGGCCACAGAGCTCCCAAGATATTACGTCTTTTTTCTTCAGCTACCAGGACAGGTAGAGAAAGACCATCAGGTT
The DNA here is from genome assembly GCF_000001405.40 of Homo sapiens. Lineage (NCBI taxonomy): Eukaryota > Metazoa > Chordata > Mammalia > Primates > Hominidae > Homo > Homo sapiens. The sequence continues at coordinate 75,801,146 of NC_000014.9, forward strand.
GGGGCAGAGTTAGGCATGCCCAAGCTCAGAGACTCTCCTTGGACAGGGCTTGCTGCTTTTGCTGTGGGGGATGGGGGTGTGGTTCTCAGGCCCATGGAGTTACGTTCCCAGAGGGATTATGGCTGCCCCTGCTGCATCATACAGGTCACCAGGGAAGTAGGGGAAAGCCAGCAGTGGCAGACCTCACCCATTTCCCACGCAGCCAACAAGGCCAATCTCCTGGGGTGCATAAGATATTTTGATACAGGCATATAGTGTGTGTTGATCATATCAGGGTAAAGGTGTCCATCACCTCAAGCATTTATCCTTTCTTTGTATTACAGACAATCCAGTTATACTCTTAGTTACTTTAAAATGTACGATAAATTATTGTTGACTGTAGTCACCCTGTTGTGCTATCAAATACTAGATCTTATTCATGCTAACTATATTTTTGTACCCATTAACCATCCCTACTTCCCCCCACCCTCTGTATTTTGTGTTGCAAAGCTCAATTATAGGTTATTCAACCCTTTCCCTTCAGAGAAAGTGATTCCTTAATTTGGAATTTGGAAAATTCTGTCATTGATTATTCTTTTTCTGGTAAATAACTAATAACATGTTATAATGGTTTAGTATAGATTCTGGTATATTTGTTTACTAACAGTTTCCCTTTTTCTCTAGTTATATTTAAAAAGAAAGTTGCTTTAGTTTCTTACTCACTGAGTCAAGTGATACAATGTCTGTAGCTTTCTAGAAAGAGGTAGATTTCCAGTCAGAAAGTGGTGAGAGTTCTGCTCTTCTCTCTGGAGTTAGGGCCTGAAAACTTAAACTTAGCTATTATCAGAAACAAGTTTGTGTCCAGTAATCACTTTAAATGTTTTTTGTTTCCTCTTACCTGTTTTCATATTCTCGATTCTTATTTTCTGTTTGTGCTTTCTTTTTTTTGTTTTCCCTTTTCTAATAGGTTTAATTAATATTTTCTCCCCTTTTAAAAATAAGATTTATTCTGGATATGTTTATTCATTCTATTGTTTTCTAATTCATTATTTTCTTGCCTTATCTTTACTAATTCCTTCTTTCTGCTTTCCTTAACTTTGTTCCACTATTTCAATATTTCTCCCCACCTTGAGTTAAATGCTTCATTTATTTTCATTCACTCTTGGTATTTTTTTCACTATATAAAAGCTATGAATTTTTCTCTGAACATTGCTCTCATTATATTACATAAATTCTGATCTATCTTTAATTGGCTTTCTGGGCAAGGAGTTAAGAGATATTCTACTAAGCAAGCAAAGTTGAATTTAAATTACTTGTGCTATTTTGGAAGATGAGTATAGAATATTGAAGTTGTTGGGTATTTCTGAAAAATCATTATATTTGGCCTACAATTTCAACTGCTTAGCCTATTAAAACTTTTAGTGGCATTTCCTGCAAAACTTTTTATTTCATTGTGTTTGTGTGTGCATGTGTATATGTATGTATTTAAAAAACATTTTGCTAGGCTCTTAAGAGTCTTCCAGGCTTTGGTACTAAGCCATGGGGATGATATAACACATAGTCCTCAGCATGAAATAACTCACTCTCTTGTAATGGTGGCAGCTACATAAACAGATGGTAATAGTAACATGGAATATGCATGACAGAGATAGTCTGAGGGAATAACAACCACTAAAAGAGGCCCCGAACCCAGCTTGTGGGTGGGAATGGGGAAAAAGCTGAACTAGCCTTCTTGGAAGAGATTATATCTAAACTGAATCTTAAAGATAGGCAGGTAGATGGCAGAAGAAGGGGAGAAACAGTTTACAGAATAAAAACTCACTTGTGCATATGTAGCGAAACGAGTGACAGGCTAAGGATGTCACAGGATGGAGAGTCAGCAGGGACTAGCTAGGAATGAAGTTGGGCGAGAAGGCAAGGGCTGGTTCAGGGAGAGCTTTCATGCCGTGTGAAGGAACTTGTCCTTTGTCTCTTAGATGATGGAGATTCTCTGAGACACAATTGCTTTGCCTTTTAGCTGGACCACTCAGGTAGCTTGAAGAGGATGGATTTGGAGGATGAGGCAGTGCCACTCCTTTTTCCTCCATGCTCGCTGGTGAAGATAATGAGGAACAGTGAACTAGCTAAAGGTAAAGAAGCAAAGTATTCTGACAAGCCAAAAATTTGATGATAAAACATAGAGGGACTCAGAATTTACATTAGAGGTTAGATTCTTAAGAAATCTGTGTGGCAAAAACAGAAGCTCATATCCTGTGTAGTTACTACTACTCCTGCTGTGATTTAACTTTGTTTATAGCCTAAAACACATAAAAATATCAAACTTTCCCTGCCATGTGAGCAGCGGCCACTTCAAAAAATCTGTGCAAGCACGTGTATACTTGAAATATAAAGAGATAAATGTTCTCAACTACCACCATTCAACAAATAACTTAGAAATCTGAGCAGAGAGCAGGTCAAATTTAATTCTTTCCCTTGGCCCAAGAGAGGCTGGTTGTCTTTTGGAGATGAGATTTTTTGGAAATCTATGTGTATGTCCCTGAAAGCAGGGTTTTCTAGAAACATCTTGCACCTGGGCTGGGGGCAGGAGAAGTGTCGTGGTGGCCAATAGGGTACTGAGCTTCCGTGTGAAGTCTCACTATCTCTGCCTGACTCCATGCTGGAAGGGAGTGTAGTGCTCTGAAGAGATGTAGCCCTTTGTGGTTATTGCCATTAGTGAACAGAAGAATGTGGTGAATTAGCCCAGCTTTGTGGTGAGAAGTGGGAGGCAGGGAATCAGAGGGAGCGCTGGCCCTCTCCGTGCAGGCAAGCCTGAGACTGCAGGACCCAGCTATCATTAGGAGCAACTCCAGCTCTTCCAGCCTGGGAGTTTAATCAAAGGGATAACAGCAGACCACCCAGGCGGGGGCTCCAGTGTGAACGAATGTGCTGTGTCAGTCTCTGCTCCCCAACCAGCCAGTGCCCGGGATGTGGCCAGGCCTCCTGGAAATGTGCTGACAGATACAGAGAGGGGAGGAGATACTTTTTGCTCTTCACATTTTTCATTTAGATGGAGAGTGGGAAAAAAAAAATCCATTCTATTTCTTTCATTTTTCTTGCTCCTTACCCTGAGACTTCCCTGCCTGGTCCTAGAGAAAGATAGATGCGGAGGTACATAAAGCTTGATTCACAGCAGTTAAACTCTCTCACTCTCTCTATACAAAGGAATTCTTTATCATTTCTTCTGCTTCCGCAGCTAACACCGTAAGGGTCCACAGTGGACCCTGAGTGAATCTCAATTTCAGAAATTCCAAATGAAGAGAGACGGAGCTAAATCTTTGAAATGGTTACAGATGTTCTCTAGGATTGAGGCAGATGGCGCCCAGTTTATCACAAGCTTCAGCAATTGGCACTGGAAACTCTTTCTGCCTCCTTAGTTTATCTGGACACATTTGAACTTAGGTACATTTGTGCTCAGATTTTGTGGCCGTTTGTTAACCCTAGTTCCTTTAGTTTCATATTCTTTCTTAGTAGAAAAAGTTGTTGTTCTTTTTACCATATACATTATTCTTTCCCATTTCTAGAAGCAGGAAAGGGTAAATAGAAAAAGGCATAAGCTCTTGAGTCAGCAAGACCTTGGACAAGTTGTTTAACCTCCCTGTGCCTTGATTTCCTCATCTGTAAAATGGGGTAGTTTTGGTATCAAGACCAATTCTTCTCTTGGCTACTTGTGCCTCTCTGTTCCAGGACCTGGCTCCAGTTGATCTGATCTAATTTCCTAGCTTTTCTAGGTCTTGAGGCTTGAAGCTCTCATTTTCTTTAGTTCCTGGCCTACTGCATGGTCTCTTGTTTTAAAATAGCCTTTGTTTTACTCTGCCACCCCTTTAAACTCATCTTACTTGTACTGCCAAACTTCTTTTAAAATAACACACCCTTGTTGGCTCTAGTCTCCCTTCTGCCCCTCCACCCCTACACACTTGCTCTTGCAGTCTGACTTCATCTCTTACATTTGTCCATCTCTCTCTCAAAGGCCACTCATGACCTCAGAATTGCCAACTTCAGTCACTATTTTTAATCTTCTTCCTTTAGCATGTGGCACTATTATCAACGGCTTCTTAGGTGAAAATTTCCCTTAGCTTTTCTAACCCTTCAGTAATTCCTCTGAGAAATCATTGCTTCCTCCTGCTCTCCCTGAAAACTAGATTCCATTTTCAACATGTTTTTCAGAGCCACTGGCATATAGATCTTATGTGTATAAAGTTGATCATAGCAGAGTGGCTCTGGTTGAAGAAGGTGGAGTGGCCCCTGGGCATCTGCTTCTCCCTGGTCTTTTGGGATCCTCCAGCATATCTCTGAATTCTAGGCTGTAATCCTCAGAACTTCTTTTTCCTCTCCATACTTTCCCCTGGGATAAAGTTCCTTTTCCTGTGATTTCATCCTGGTACTTCTCTATGGATTTCTCCCAAGTATATATCTTTAGTTTGAGCCTTTGCTGAGAGTCAGGTCCACATTTCCACCTGTGAGACATTTCTACCTAACTATATTGCAGAACATTCAAAATACTTGATGTATTTTGAACATATTTTGAAAATACTCAGAAAAGTCTTAAACATATTTAAAACTTATTTGCCTCTTTTTGTTCTTCTCTATATTAGTGACATTGCAATTCTTGGAATTCTAGAATCCCAGGGAATTTAGGAATGGAGCCATTGGTTTATCAGTGCCTCTCTTCACTTCCTCATTCTATGTCCAGGCAGTTGTCAAGATTCTACAGTGTCTCTGATACCTATCCTGTTTTTCACTTTTCCATCTACTGTCCTGCTTAAGGCCTTTATTATCTCTTGGATGGAGAGCTGCAATTACCTTTTCACTGGTTTCTTGGCCAGTCTCTTCCTGTTCACCCTAGTCTTTGCTTTGCTCTGAAAGATTCTTTTTTTTTTTTTTTTGAGATGCAGTCTCACTCTGTTGCTCAGACTGGAGTGCAGTGGTGCGCGATCTCAGCTCACTACAATCTCTGCCTCCCAGGTTCAAGTGATTCTCCTGCCTCAGCCTCCCAAGTAGCTGGGATTACAGATGCCTGCCGCCATGCCGGGCTAATTTTTGTATTTTTAGTAGAGATGGGGTTTCACCATCTTGGCCAGAGTGGTTTCAAACTCCTGACCTCAAGTGATCTGTCCGCTTCAGCCTTTCAAAGTGCTGGGAATTCAGGTGTGAGCCACTGTGCCCGGCCATAATGGATCCTTTCCTAAATCACAAGTCTCATCATGGTACTCTTCTGCTTAAGAATCTCGAGGGCCTTCTGTTGTCTATAATGGGAAGCCCAGGCTGTTAAATGTGATTCAAAGCCTTTATTTAGAATCTGGCTCCAGGCTACTTTTCCAGCCTGTCTCCCTACTATCACACATGTTTTTGTGCAGCTCAACTAGAATTTCTGTTAGTCTCCATGCCTTATGCTATCTTCTCATGGAAAATGTTCCCCAGTTGCCATGTCTAATCTGGGCATCTGTCCAGGCTCAGTGTAGATGCCACTTCACTCATATGCATACTCTTTCACTCATCACACTAGGTATGTCAAGATAGCTCTCTCTTTTAACAGACAGTGAACTCCTTGAGGGCAGTGTCCTTTGCTGCCTCAGCACCTGACTCATTGGTAGTACTCAAAAAATGTGCTGATTCGACTGGACTACAAGGTAATTCATTGAGAATTGGATCATGTCCATTTTTTTCACCAGTTTTTTCCCAGCCTGCTAGATATTAATAGTATGCACTCAGTACGTATTTTTTGAATAAATAAGTAAATGAAGAACCCTCTGCTGCCTTAGCCAGAAGTCATCTTTCTATTCTGTGTGCTCCTTCATTCCTTCATTACTTTTTATAACAGATCTATTATAATTATTTTGCATCTTTTCTTTCCTGTTTTGCACTAAACTACATGATGCAGTTCTTTCTAACTCATCACCTAGCGCAAGGCCTTTCACTTGGCAGTCATCACATGCTTGCTAAATTGAAAAGAATTTCTTTTTTACATTTTGTAGGTTTTTATATTTTCTTTAAAAACGATTGATGGCTGGGTGCAGTGGCGCACTCCTATAATCCCAGCACTTTGGGAGGCCGAGGTGGGTGGATCGCTTGAGCTCGGGAGTTCTAGGCCAGCCTGGGGAACATGGCAAAACCCCAACTCCACAAAAAAGACAAAAATTAGCCAGGTGCGGTGGCACGTGCCTGTAGTCCCAGCTACTCTGGAGGCTGAGGTGGGAGGATCGATTGAGCCCAAGAGCTGCAGTGTGCCATAACTGCACCACTGCACTCCAACCTCGGCTACAAAGTAAGAAAGACCCTGTGTCAAAATTTTTTCATTGATAACACCATACCTGCCCTTCATAATTAAGCAGTTGACATTAATCAGATGCTTACTTTGTACTAGGCACTGTGCCAAGGACTTTATATGCATTATCTCTTTAACCCTAATGAGGTGTAGGTACTTACTTTTTGCCAATTAAGATGAAGAAATAGAAGCTGGTAGGATAAGTGACTCTGCTAATGTCACACAGATGGCAAGTTACTGTGCTAAGACTCAAACTCAGCTCTGTCTGACTCTGTGCTCTTTACCTCAGTGTTTTTCTGTCTCTTTCGGTGTGAATAAGGACTCAAACCTCTCATTAGACGAAAGTGACCGAACTTCACCCTGTGAGCTTGTTGTTCCATGATGTTGCTACAGAGTTGTAGCCAAGCCTATACTTGTGCCTGCTCAGAGAAACAAGGAGTTGAACTTTGTTTTCTTGATTTGAAATGCTTCTCTAGTTCTTGAAGCAGCTTGCAAAACATGTGGCTCTGTTGAGAATTATCAGTTATTTGTTGGGCAAACTCCTCATCAGATTATTTTATAGTATAGTCAACTGATTCTTCGACCAGACAAAACTCAGCCTTGTTAATCACTAGAGATGCAATAAGAATAGATCTTATGATGGCAGCAGCAACTCCCCCTGTCAACACACAAAATCTACATGTATAAATTGGAAACCCTACGAAGAGATTTGCCCATTTTGTCAGGTTTCCCAGGAATGTCTCTGGCAAATCTTGATCTGGAACTCTGTCTGGATTTTGGAACACTAAATGTCTATATATATACGTATATTATGAAAATGATGGAGCTCAGCAGAAAGAGAAGATATGCCAAGAGAATTTAGTGCTGAGGTATTGGAACTGCAGAGATTCCCTGCTTTTCCTGACCCCCTTTAAAATATAATTAACATTTAACCCTTCTCTCCTGGTGATTGGAGTGTGAATTTCTTGAGGTTTATTTTATCAGCATCCAGGAATTGAAGAAGGAATTGAATTGTGGCTAGTGATTTAATAAATGCTCGTGAAGTGCTTTTGGAGGACTGTTCAAAATGTAACTGTTTAAGATAGTTCTTTTCATTTTTCTGATTGAATATATTCTCTAATATTTCTCCATTGGTGAAAATCTTGTAATTGGTGCAGATCTGGCACTTTTGGTTTTCCTCTTCTTTTACCTTGAGTGAAACAGATCTTGGTCCACTGATATTTCCTATTCAAGGATTACCTTTTGCTCTAGCAAAACAGGTGAAAACAGGAACAGATCCTGTTCCAGATCATTCAGAGCCCCATGGCTGCAGGAATCAAAGCTATGGCATGTTCAATTGATCCAGTCATATTCTTTTTTTCTTATTTTTTAAAATTTTTATATAGAGGTGAGGTCTCACTGTGTTGCCCAGACTGATCTCGAACTCCTGGGCTCAAGTGATCCTCCTGCCTTGGCCTCCCAAAGTGCTGGATTATAGGTGTGTGCCACCATGCCCAGCTGATCCTGTCAGATTTTGATATAGCTATACATATCAGGATATATATAAGGAATATATATATATATATTCTTTATATATGAACACCACAGAGAACATTATTTTCAAATGACATTGAGGTAGTTTTGAGGATAATATGAATGCACATTTAGACAAATTTATCCTTTTATCAGTTGAAGTGATTCTTAACCTTTTTGGATTCAGAAGTCTCTTGGAGAATCTAATTAAAGCTTTATTCCTCCTCCTGAAAAAATATACACTCAAACTTATAAATTTGCATTAATTTCAAAGGGTTCAAATACCTTCACCCTCAATCAGGCTCTGTCTTGATGCTCCATGGACTTATGGTCTCTAAGTTAAGATCCCCTGAAAGTGTTTAGGTAGCATATAACCATTAATATCAATAATTTGGCCCAAACTCCAAATCTATGAGTATCTTTGTTTTATACATTCTTTATATATTTCAGTGATAGCCCCACATTAGGCTGTAATCTCCATGAAGGCAAGGATTTGGGGGTTATTCATATATCACAGTGTTACATATTTTGGGGGGTACATATGATGTTTAGATACATCTATACAATGTGTTATGATCAAGTCAGAGTAATTGGGATATCCGTTGCTTCAAAGATTTATCTTTTCTTTGTGTTGGGAACATTAACAAGTCTTCCCTTGTGACTATTTTGAGATATACAATAAATTGTTAACTGCAATTTTCCTACTATACTTTCGAATACTAGAACTTATTCATTTTATCTAACTGTATTTTTGTACTCATGAATCAATATCTCTTCTCCTTCCCCTTTTTCCCTTCTCAGCTCTGGTAACCATCATTCTATTCTCTATCTCCATGAAATCCACTCTTTTAGTTCCCAGATATGAGTGAGAACATGCAATTTTTGTGTTTCTGTTCTTCACTTATTACATTTAACATAATGACCTCCAGTTCCATCTATGTTCTGCAAATGACAGGATTTCATTCTTTTTGTGGCCGAACTATATTCCTCTATGTATATATGTCACATTTTTTTTAATCCATTCATCCGTTGATGGACACTTAGGTTGATACCCAGCAGTGGGATTGCTAGATCATATGGTTGTTGTATTTTTAGCTTTTTGAGGAACCTGTATACTGTTTTCCATATTGACTGTGCTACTTGACTGTTTTTTGTCATTGTTTTATCCTTAATGCTCAAAAGAATGGCAAGCCCAGAGTAGGTGCCTGAGAAATATTAGTTTGAATTAGTGAACTAATCTTAGGAAACAGCATTCCTAGACCTTCTCAGACAAGAATTATCTAAAATTTTTCTGGACCTGCTACAATGAGGAAATTGAGCTATGGCAAGATTATAAACTGCATTGGGAATGCTTTGCTACCAGTTACTCCCATGTTAAGCTCTTATTAACTAAATCATCTTCTCTCTCTCTCTCTCTCTGTTTTTCTTTTTGAGACAGGATCTTGCTCTGTCACCCAGGCTAGAGTGCCACCCAGGCTGGAGTACAGTGGTGTGATTATGGTTCACTGCAGCCTTGAATTCCCAGGCTCAAGTGATCCTCCTGCCTCAGCCTCCCAAGTAGCTAGGACTACAGGCATGCACCACCATGCCTAATTTTTTAAATTATATTTTGTAGAGATGGGGTCTCTTATGTTGCCCAGGTTGGTCTTGAATTTTTGGCCTCAAGTGACCCTCCTGCCTCAGCCCCTCAAAGCACTGTGATTACACACATGAGCTACTGTGCCTGACCCTAAATCTTTAATGCTTAATTTTCTTCTCCATTTCGATAAATAAGATGCATGAAATTTGCAGACATCCTTAGTGAACCTGAGATTAGTTTGAGTCCATTGCAAATGGTTTCTTAGGCCTTTGCAGTTTCAGGGGCATGAAGAAACAAATATACACATTGTGTGCACAAGGCACAACATCTGTATGTCAAAGCTGTTATTTCATCCATTTAAGATCAAGCAAAAATCCTCTCTAAAATTATTCAGGGCACAGCAAGAGCAACACATCTCTCAACTCTAGTCACTGATCATTTTATTTCCCTGAATTCTAAAGCAGTCCCTCCCTTGTGGCCCAGGCAAAAAGAGGTGATTTGGGACTCCTAATTTCCTTGATAGCCTTGCAGAGACATTAACCACTTTTCTACTCAACTGGTGAAACTAGCTGCTAACTGGAGGTAGGGGGTGGGAGGGAGAAATAGAGGGGGTGGGGAAAGAGAGGGAATGAAAGAAAGAGTGTGTGTGTGTGTGTGTGTGTGTGTGTGTGTATGTGTGTGTGTGTGTTTGGGAGTAGAAGGGTCTGCAACCAAGGTTCTCATATAGCATGGTTCTGTCAGAACCTGTGAGCAGGCTTACTGTTGTCTACTAGATCAAGGACAGAATCATTAGTCTGACATTCAAGGGCCTCCCCAAGCTGTTTATCTGTCTGTCCCTATCTTCTATGACGCGAAGCTTTTGCTGAATTAGACTACTTTCTGTTTCTCAGATGTTCTCCCTGCTTGTCTGACGATTTTTCTTTCCTCCTACCTATTATTTTAGGCCCAGCCCAGATGCCATTTTTTAATTTCTTTAGCTGTTCTTTTATGGCACTTACTGCATTCTGGAGGTCTTAAATACTGCTTTTTGTCTTACAATCTTGTCTGGCCTAGTAATTATAAATTCCAACATGGCTTGAGGGCAGGGAAGGGCCACGTTTTTATCTGCACATGCGTTAGCGCTTTCCTCAAGGCTTTACCTGTGATAGGCAATACAGCACTTACTATCTTTGAGGTGTGGACTTCTCTTAAGCATTCGGGACTGCAGCATTTTTGAGAGCATGCAGCATTGAAATAGCTAGGCTTGTCTTCAAACCCTCTTCACATACCAAAAGGTTATGTATCTGGGTGGATGGTGGGTATCTTCTAAGAATCAACAGGGAAGCTCCATCATATTTTAATTATAGTGCTGGCAGCAGTACGACTTTTAACAAACAGCAGTAACAAGAAGTAACACTTGGGCGGGCCAGCCACCGGAAATTGGCCTCTTTCTCTGGGTTTCTCCTACCCCCTTTTCAATCCATCACCTGGATTTATTCCTGCTATAATTTAAACACCTGTCTAGATGGTATGCATGCAATGTGTCCCTACCCCACACATTCAGATATTTGCTCACCTGCCTTATTCGGAAGATTGGCTCTAAAATAAACAGTGATTTGGTACTAAAGGAAAAACGCACTGAGGTCACCGTGGCAATGGACATGAGGCAGAGAATGGGAGTGGAACATCTGGATAAGCTGCTCCAGGAGAGTGGGAGCAGAGGAAGAGGAAAAGCAGGAGCAGGGGGAGGAGGAGGAGAGCAAGGGGTGAAACATCTGCCAAGCAGGCCCCAAAGCTTAGGTGGAGGTAGGATCTTGTGACCAGATTTCCCACAGGCAGTTACTCACTTAGCAGCAGCCAGCTAGAGGGAGGCAGGGGCAGAGACATGTGGAACAAGTTGACTGTTTTTAGGCTTAAATTTCTTGTTTTTTTGTTTTTTCGTTGTTACCACTATTTCTCAGGGCAGCATAGCAAGTAATCTTGGAATTTTCTGAAGTTTGTCCTAAGCTGTTTTGTCCACTTTTGCATTCTTGGCATATTTAATGATTACTCTTTTTAATGTTTGAGCATCTGAACAACATTGAGAAATAGTAAAACCTTAAAGTTGCTAATGAAACTATTTTCCCTTCTCATTCCCCTTTGTTGTTTTGTAACTTGTCTTCACCCCATCAAAGGCATTTCTGCTGTTTTTTGGAAAATCCCCTGCCCGTGAGCTTTGTGGAGGAGAGGAAGCATTGAATGGTTCCTTTTACCTGTTCTCTCGTTTCCTTAGCTACCATTCCTGGTAACAAGTGCTTCTCAAACTCTGCAATGCAAGTAAGTTTCCCGTGGATCTTGAAAATGCAAATTTTGGTTCAGTGCAGCTGGGGCTGGGGCTGGGGCTGGGGCTGTGGCTGGGCCAAGATTCTGCATTTTTAATATGCTCCCAGTAATGCAGGTGCTCTTGGTCCAGAGACCAAATTCTAAGTCGCAAGGCTCAGTGGTACAAGGCAGTGAGATAACACAGTGATTAAAACAACAAGATTGGGAGAATTTTCATCAGGCAGACCAGGAATTGAATCCAGGGGCTGACACATAATAATTATTTGTTCTTGAGCAAGTTATTTTATCTCTCAACCTCAGTTTCCCCATCTACCTGTCTTGAAGACTAAGTAGGTTAATATACATAAAATATGCTTAGCATGTTGCCTGGAACAAGCTGTGTGTGTGTGTGTGTGTGTGTGTGTGTGTTTCAGACAGGGTCTTGCTCTATTATCCAGGCACTGTGTGTGTGTTTGTGTGTGTGTGTGTGTGTGTGTGTGTGTGTGTGTGTGTGTGTGTGTTTGAGACAGCGTCTTGCTCTATTATCCAGGCTGGAGTGCAGTGGTGTGATCTCAGCTCACTGCAGTCTCAACCTCCTGCGCTCAAGCAATCCTTCCCACCTCAGCCTCCCTAGTAGCTGGGACTAGAAGCATGCACCACCACACTCAGCTAATTTTTATATTTTTAGTGGAGAAGGGGTTTCACCATGTTGCCCAGACTGGTCTCGAACTCCTGGGCTCCAACGATCCACATGCTTTGGCCTCCCAAAGTGCTGGTATTACAGGTGTGAGCCACCGTGCCTGGCCCAAACTGTTTTTGAATTTAGCCGTCATTAGTATTAATATAGTTTTGTTGTTATTATTACTGTAGTGGATCTAAAACGTAGCATATTAAAATTGATTATAGTAGAACGTTTTAAAGGTCCAAACACAGACTTATAAGCTTCTTATGTGTATATACTTGTGTTTTTCACTTAAAGATGTTGATTAGCTTTACCAGTAGGGCATGTTCTTTGAGTCATGGTTTCAATTAAAAAAAAAAAAAAAAGCTATAGGTTTTCAACTATCTCCTGTCTGTTTTCCAGACCCCTTTGTGACCAATAACATGAATTCGTAGGTTGGCAAGCCTAGATTTAATAGCACAGACACTAGTTATTAGCCCAGAGAAGCCAACTGGCCCAATGGCTATGACCTCCACTTTAATATCCTAATATAGGTTGAGTGTCCCTAATTTAAAAATCCAAAATCCAAACTGCTCTAAAATTTGAAACTTTTTGAGCCACCTACATGATATTTCAAGTTTTCAGATTTGGGATGCTCAATTGGTATAATGCAAATATTCCAAAATACAAAAAAATCTGAAATGCAAAACACTTTTGGTCCCAAGTATTTCTGTTAAGGGACAGTTAACCTGTACTACTAACAAAAATGGTGAGCCAGTGATTGATTTTGTGAGTGGTGCTGTCTCTTCATGTACTGTAAGCCTGTTCTTTTAAAAAATTATTTAGCAATGAAATGTTGATCATCGTTGTATATCAGGTACCTGTAAGTGCTCTTTATCACTTTCTCTTCATTTGATCAGAGCTGGTTTTGTTATGTTATTTGGAGAAATGTAGATGGATAGAGAAGTGGATGTAGCCTGGTAACGTCTATAATCATCATCTTTCTGTCCTGTTAGGGAAGAAACCTTCAGGTATGAACCCTAATTGGCTTGTAGGGTTTATTAAGGTCTCATCCGATACTGGGAGATTTTCCCTGCCCTTAGGTCTTCTCTAGGCAGGACAAGGCAGTTCTAAAGCCAGAATTGATGCTTAGATTCGTTTTTGTTCAGTGACTCCTTCTGCCCATTCTGGAAAAAAGTGGGAAGCTGAAAAGAAAGACCAGAGGTTTTCTTACTTAATTTAATCTAGAGATAATTTGCTTGGTGCAAAATTTAGTCAGGTGTAAATCTGTATACGTAACATTTAGCCAGATCTGATTGAGAGTCTAGAGCTGTGCTGTGCAATAAGGTAACCACTAGCTACATCTGGCTTTTAAATTTTAAATTATATAAAGTTTAAAATCCAGTTCCTCAGTCATAGCAGGCATATTTCACATGCATAGTAGTCACATGTGGCTAGGGGTTACTGTATTGAACAGTGCACATTACAGAACATTTCCATTATCACAGATCATTCTAGAAGATAGAAAATGATTTATTTCACTTGTTTTTCTGATAGATCAGTGATGGCTACTTGGAGAAATGTGTAAAGAAGATTCTGAGACCATCTCCAAGTCAGCCCCGAGTTGCTTGATTATGGGTTAGCAGTATGAGTCCTAGGAAGAGACTGCTGGGTGAGGGATGTAGGGGTGTTAGCTCTGGCATATGTGCTGAGTGTCTTCTAGACAAAAAATCCACAAGTCTAAGAATAGAATATTTAATCTAGAGGGGCAGGTTATTATCATTTGGTAGGAACAGATTTTTTGTTTTCTTTTAGCAGGAATCCTTTAGAGAGAAAGGTGAGAAGCTTTTAAAGTTTTCTCATTCCTTGTATAGTCTCTCATTTAAGTAGCAGTCACTTTTGCTGTTTCTCAAATTAACAATGATACTTTGCTTTTGCATAAAACAAAATCACAGTGGCTGCCACTTCTTGGTTTATCCATCACATCAGGAATGGTTGTTATGTGAATAAACGTAACCCTCCAATAATCCAAAAGTAATTTCATGATCAAGTCACTTTTTACCTGCCAAGAAACAAAACTGGCCGAGGATGTTTTTCTTTGTTTTACTTCTTTAATGTCTTCTGATGAAAGATAACAAGTGGGAAGTAAAATCAAAGGGAAAGAAGGAAAAGCTGGTATAGTTTTGTCAATCTCTGTATAATCACTGTTTTAAGAATTTGAGGTCTGTATCTGATGATATTTTAAAAATCTCTAATAATTAAGGGTAACTAGGATTGTTTTCCTACTAGTTTCCAAACTAGAAAAGATTTTTAAAACTGGAGTACCAGTTCTGCAACTTTTATGTGACTTTGAGCAAATTGCTTATCATAACCTCTCTGAGCCTTAGTTTCTCCACTTGTGAAATGGTGTGGAACAGTATCTACCTCTGTGAATAATGGGTAAGGACTAAGTGAAATATAAAACCCAGAGTGCCTAACACCGCTACTGTAAGGACTCATTAAACCATATTATTTGGGAAAAGTAGACCACATGCGCTGGAAGGCGAACACTCTCTGTTCTGTCTTGGCCCTGCCACTTACAGGTGTGTGACTGTTGTCTAGTTGTTTACCCTCTTTTGACTTTGGCTTCCCCTTTTGTAAAATGGGTAACAGTAGAACCTGTTACAAAGGGATTGCTTGGGGTTAAATGAGATAATGCACTTCAAGATCATGCAAGAACCCAGCACTTTGGGAGGCCAAGGCGGGTAGACCACTTGAGGTCAGGGGTTACCAGCCTGGCCAACATGGTGAAATCCTGTCTCTACTAAAAATACAAAAATTAGCCTGGTGGCAGGTGCCTATAATTCCAGCTACTTGGGAGGCTGAGGCAGGAGAATCACTTGAACTCAGGAGGTAGATGTTGCAGTGAGCCAAGATTACGCCACTGCACTCCAACAGAGTGAGACTCTGTCTCCAAACAAGAAAATAAAACCATAATGCAAGATCATTGCACATAGTGAGTGTTCCATAAGTGGTAACTGTTAAGATGCATATGATGATGTTTAAATTAGGGGCAGTCTTGCCAAAGGATAGGTTTACTAAATCTTTTATCTCCTCTCCTTTCCATTCACTAATCTCCAGACGATATCATTTATACTAAACATGGTAAAGTGTGCACATTGTTTATTTATTGATATTCCCCTATAAATTATTAAGCCTCCTTTATTAAGTTCTTGGCACAACTAAAGCAGTAATTGGAGAAGCTGTTAGTTATCATAAAGACCTTTCTCACTGTACTTTTTCTGTAAGTTTCAAGATCATGTCTAATATAAAAGGTCTGATGGTCAAATCAGGGCAGGAAAGCAGAGGAGTCAGTGTGGGGCAGGAGTGAGTTCAGGAGTACAGGGAGTCTGGTTCATTGTCTGAAGGCCTGACCTACATTGCCCCTAGGATATAGGAAGAAGGACAAGGCATTTCAGAGAAACTAGTGGCCAGAGAAGTTACTACCATAATTTGCTACTATATCTTCCCTGTCTTATTTTTTTTTTTTTTTTTTTTTTTTGAGACAAGAGTCTCGCTCTGTCGCCAGGCTGGAGTGCAGTGCGCTATCTGAGCTCACTGCAGCCTCTGACTTCTGGGTTCAAGCAATTCTCCTGCCTCAGTTTCCTGAGTAGCTGGGACTACAGGCTCACACCACCACGCCCAGCTAATTTTTGTATTTTTAGTAGAGATGGGATTTCACCATGTTGGCCAGGATGGTCTCGATGTCTTGACCTCATGATCCACCCGCCTTGGCCTCCCAAAGTGCTGGGATTACAGGTGTGAGCCACCACGCCCAGCCTCTTCCCTGCCTTTTAGTTAGCATATGCCCTTCTTCTCCCCCTTGTAGAAGCAGTAGGGGACAGAAATGATAAGTCATATATGGCCGGTGAGTTTTTCTTCCAAAGACTGGTCCACACTAGAGGGTGCAGCCTCCACAGACACTGGGAATTGCTCCTGACCTATGGAAAACAACTTTCTTTCCAAGAAAATTATTTTTAGTCCTTTGGTGTAAAGACACAGTCCTGAGTTGTTTTCACTTACTGAATTCTATAACTAGGAATGAAACACTATACTCTTGCTAAAAATGACCTTTTTTCTTTCAGAATTTTTAGGGAAAAAAAATCATAATTCTCTCATTTGTAGTTTCAAAATTATTAGGCCCTTAGAACATTTTATAGCCAAACATTTGCCTTGGAATTAACATCTCCAGTCTGATGACTTTCACTACTGTTCTCTAGTGTCTCATGCTTAAAATCCTGCATTCAGCTTTGTGTCTTCTCTCTCTTCAACAGTCCCGGTGCATCTTACTTTGAAATGCTTCTCACAACCATTCTTTCTTTTCTTTTCTTTTCTTTTTTTTTTTTTTTTTTTTTTTTTGAGACGGAGTCTCACTCTGTCGCCCAGGCTGGAGTGCAGTAGTGAGATCTTGGCTCACTGCAAGCTCCACCTCCTGGGTTCACACCATTCTCCTGCCTCAGCCTCCCGAGTAGCTGGGACTACAGGTGCCCGCCACCACGCCCAGCTAATTTTTTTGTATTTTTAGTAGAGACGGGGTTTCACCATGTTAGCCAGGATGATCTCGATCTCCTGACCTTGTGATCCACCTGCCTCAGCCTCCCAAAGTGCTGCGATTATAGGCGTGAGCCACCGTGCCCGGCCCCATTCTTTCTTTTCTGATTCCACTACCACTGCCCAGGTTTTAAATACATCTGTATTTGCCATAACAACTTTAAAATAATTTTTTATTATAAAAGGTAATACATGCTCAGTTTATAAAATTTGGAGAATATAGATAAGGAAGAAAATAAGTTGTAATTCAGAAATAAATGCTACTTATAGTCTGGATTTTTACTTCTAGTCTTCAGGAATGTCTTTTCACTTGTGTTTGTGTGTGTATGTGTTTAAAGAAATTTGGATCTACTCTATACAGTTTCATATTGTGATTTTTGCTACCACGATTTTTTTTACTTGAGATATTAGCGTGTTCCTATATCATTATTTTTCTTTTCTTTTCTTTTTTTTTTTTTGAGATGGAGTCTCACTCTGTCACCCAGGCTTGAGTGCAGTGGCATGATCTCTTCTCACCGCAACCTCTGCCTCCCAGGTTCAAGCAATTCTCTTGCCTCAGCCTCCTGAGTAGCTGGGACTACAGGTGCCTGCCACCACGCCTGGCTAATTTTTTTTTTTTTTTTTTGTATTTTTAGTAGACATAGGGTTTCACCATGTTAGCCAGGCTGGTCTCGGTCTCCTAACCTCGTGATCCACCCGCCTCAGCCTCCCAAAGTGTTGGGGTTACAGGCGTGAGCCACCACGCCCGGACTATTTTTCAAAAAATGTTAATGCATACGTAATATTGTCTTACTTAGGGCAAAATTTATTTAACAATATTGTTAGCCATTTAGATCTCCTTTTTCAGTATTAAAAACAATGCTTGATTTTCAGTATTCACAGTATAATGTAGTGAGTAAGAAAATGGGCTTTGGCAGTTGAAAAACTATGGTTTGAATTCTTGTTCTGCCATTTATTTCTAGGCCTCAATTCAATCATAGGCCTCGGTTTCTTTCTTGTAAAATGAGTATTATGGTACTTACCAACAGACTTGTGGCAATTTAAATGAGATGTGTGCGACGTACTCATTTACACATAGCTTGGCACCTAGTGAGTTCTAATAAATATTGACTGCTATTATGATAGCCACCTGTCATTAATCATCTGCAATTGTTTTGTTGTATAGTTCCCAGAAGCTAGATTGTAGTATCAAAGTATACAAATATTGTAATATATTTTAATAAGGTATTGCCAGTTGATTTCTAGGAAGATTCTACCAATTTATAGTCACACAAGTAGTATAAGTACCTAATTTCACCCTTTGCCATTTGTGGATACTATCTTTAAATATTGTATACCAAAGTGATATGCAAAAATGATGTCTTGTAACTTGCATTTCTTTGTAATTTGCGTGTCTTTCTTATAATTTACATTTACCAGTAGAAATGATGACTAGTTTTACATGTTTAATTGGCTAATTGTATTCCTTCTTTGTACATTATTTATTGAAGTCCATGACTATTTTTCTCCTAACCGTCTTTTTTCTTTCTAAATCAGTGGATTCTTTGTGTATTATAATAATGTTATTTATAACTAAAATTTACTGAGCATTTAGAACATTCAGATGAGGTAACAAGGGCAGAAAGACTAGTTCGCCTCGTTTCTTTGAACATTGTCTACTCAGTAGATTCTTGCTGTTTTTGTTATCCGTCTTTGTTTTTCATAGACCCGGCACAGTCCAGTGCCCTGCACTTAGTAGGAGCAAAATAAATGCTTGTTAACTTACACTGACACTGACCACTCTCACTTCTGCTCTTTGTGCACAGGAGCCATTCCTTCCTGAGTGCCTTTGTCACAGCCACAGCTTCAGCTCAGAGGGGTCAGCATCTGTTGGCCTTGACTTGATTTTGCCTATATGTTGTTAATGATGCTTTTTAAAAACTCTGTAAAGTCAGGTTATTTCCCTCGCTTTATTTCTAGGTAACAAACCTGAATTTGGCAACTGGCATCATAAACAGAAGCAGTGCTTCAGCTCCCCCAACCCTCCGACCCATCATCAGTCCTAGTGGCCCGACATGGTCTACACAGTCAGACCCCCAAGCTCCCGAGAATCACTCCAGCTCTCCTGGAAGCAGGTATGTGAAGGGCCCTGCAACTAGCATTTGGGTTACTCAGGGATGGCCTGTGTCCCAAGCAAGCCATTCCCACCTTGAGTTCTGTATGGAGATAGCACTAAGGCATATGCCCTTTCTCCACCTGCCTCGATCCTCTGGCACCTGACTAAGAGAGCCTCATTTTATTTGTAAGACAGTTTTCAAGCATATCAAATGAAAAGGACATTTCTGAGATAGTTAAGAAAATCACCTTAGGGTAAAAGAGCAAGAATTTACACTATGTTTAAACCTTGCTTATAGTCATCATTTTTATGTGCCAACTTTTTGCACTTTGTCCTTGTCTCTTAGTTTTTTTTTTAATACCTTGTGTTGTTTATAGTTTTTTTTATACTACATTGTGTTTCAGTAACTGTAGACTCTGTTCTTTTGAAGGACATATTTGTTTCTTATTTTTTTATCTAGTTTCATATAACTGAACTCAAACAACCTCGCTGAACAATGCTCATTTGGGAAGTGGGAAGGAAATTTCCTTTATGTAGTTGAGAGATGTGGCTAAAGATAAAATCCACGTAGCTTCTGGCAATAATGTAAGCAGCTTCCAAATTAAAAAAGAAACCACTGTATTGAATTCTGGTCTTGCTGTGTGTTTTAATTACCCCTGTATTAAAAAAAAAAAAAAAAAGAAATGGATTCCCAGCACATCTTGCTTTAGTGCCTATTAAATATGGATTAAATTGCATCAGTCCCTGAGTCGAATGCGCTAGAGAGAAATGTGACTGTTACAGTGAAGTATTTTGACCAGCTGAGATATTGTTCCCTCCAACCAAAGAAGTTTTACCACAGGTGCCCGACCAAGCCCTCACGCCCCATGCCAGTACTTCCAGCCTCTGCCTTTTAGTATGCTGCTTTGCCCTGAGATTCAGAGGGGGTACTGAAGACTTGGACATGGAGGAAATACCTAGTTGTTGGTAAAGTATCTATTGGTGTTAGAATTATTACTTAAGGAACTAATTTGGGAAGCAGAAGCTCTGCCCAGGAAGCAGCATAGATATAAGCACATTACATCATCCTGCGGTACGGTGTCTTTCATACCGGTGATCATTGTGGTCGGGGCGAAAAGAATCATCTTAACTGAGAATTATAAAGAACCGAAGACCAAGACGCAGGACTTTTTAAAGCAGAGCATCCTCCACACAGTTCTCTCCCCAGGAGAAGTCTGCTGTAAAACATCAGTCATAAACAAGAAATTCTGTTTATACCATAGAGCTTTATTTTCCATAAAAAAATTTCCAGATATTCCATTTTCATTTTAAATTCAGAGCCTTGTTTTTATGGAAGACATTTTCACTGCAATTTTGGATATAATGTCTGTATGACAAGGCTACAGGCATTGCTCCTACTGTAAACAAAATGTTAAAACCACACATTTTGGAGAAATTGAGTTTTAGCACTTTTTATACTTGTAGATGGAATGAGGGAAAACATTTTTAATAACAATTGTGGCTGGGTTTAGAGCTTTCTTTTGGTAGCGCCTGTTAGTAGTGAGATGAAAGATGATGAGTTCGGTTAAGGATGTGCCAGGACCTAAGGTTCAGTACTGTGAGTGGCCTTCTCCCAGCCAGACTGCCCACGAGGCTGCGATAATGCTCATGGTGCATTACACGATTTACTTCTGACCCATTCCAGCCAAAAAGCAATCCCCACAAAGTCCCCTGGTCTTTTCCTTTTCTTTTTACCCACAGCAGCCTTCTCTTTACCTCCTCTTCAAACACAAGAGCCAGTTTTCAAGTCCCATTTCAGTTCAGGGTAGCCCTGGGACATTTTCCTCTACCCCCAGGTGACCTCTGGTTGCCAGCACTGCCTGCAACCTGAGCTTGAGAGTCCCAGTTCCACATGGAATTCCCAGAGGCACCCAACCTAAAGGAGCCCTGAGTGAATTCTCAGAGGTCTTTCCAGACTTGGCTGTGATATAGGCCGCAGCCAGACCTGCAGCATACAACCTGCACAGCCCAATGTCCTGGTTTCCATTTATACCTGGTAAGTCACTGTTTTGTGGATATTTAGTCTCTTGTTGTTCCTCCTTTAGTCGTAAGGATGACTAAGTTTAATGAATACAGGATTTGTAGCTTAGAGATCTGAGTTTTATTACTGGTTTGACATTAAGTGACCCTAAGCTATTCATTTAATCTTTTTATTGGGTAAGCATACTTACATATGAAGTGGCCTGTTTTGAGAGCTTTTAGATTGCCTTTAAAGCACTTTGATCTCCCTGGAAGTAGGTGCTAGGTAAATAAAAGTTACTCTCAATAGTTTTTCTACAGTAGCAACAGTGGATTCCAGTTTAGTTCTGATAATTCACTAAACTAGGGGCTGCCTTGTAAACTGTAATAAAATGTAAAGAGAATCCCATTGCTAGCTGTACTTTTCATCTCTGCATGTCAGAGAATTCACTGACTTGGTAGCCACAGGAATGAAAACTGGTGACTCACAAGAACTCTGCAAATGGTGTTATTTTTCATTTCCCTATGGTGTTGCTATTGTTCCCAATTTTATGGATCACACAAGTTTTCATCAAACGACCTTGTTCTCCCGCTGTTTTGACATCACCCCAAATGTAGCCTCAGGGTTGTCGTCTCCCATTGGGTCAGTGTAAGCTCAGCCCAGCGCCTCAAATCCCTTGGTTCCTTTGGTCTGTCTGGAGTCCTATTCAGGCTTTGTTGTGGGAGAAGAAGGCAAAGAGCCCACGACTTGCCCAGACAGTCTGAGGCCTGGCCATGTAGCTTGCAGTTCCCTAGACACTCTGGAGTTGGACTTGGCCAGCCATCCCTCTGTTGTTACTTTTCAGAGGTAATAAGTGAGATTAATTGCAGGCCATTCTCCGGAAGAGAAAGTAGTTAGAGCCAAATACAGTCACATGTTTAGAAGCCTGAGGTGTGCCTCCAAGCAAGGCCGACTTAGAATTATACAGTAGGGACTCCAGGATGCAGGTACCAAGTGTTTATGACCTCTCTCTTCCTTAAAGTGATGTTTTCAGTTTCTAGGTGCTGATACGTGGGTGTGTTAACTTTTCTTTAGCCAATGAGAAAGATTAGATTTTTCAAGCTGCCTTTTAATTATCCATTTTTGGGGTACATGGGAAGTCATTAGGAGCTGAAAGTTGATGTGCAGAGCCATCTCATCATTACTGCCAGCCTTCCATGGAATTGGACTGCATCAGGGAGGATTTTCTAGGTGTGGAGCACTCAGTGGGTTCTTAGTGCGTTTTTCTTTGTGAGACATGGAAGGGTTACTGTAAAGTCTTGGCTGCTGCTTGGAATGATTTGGGAAGAACAGGGCCTCAGACAGCTTGGCAGGAACCTGAGGCCCTGTTTTTTTCCAGTCCAGCCCTTCCTTGTGGATCGAGCTGTCAGGGAATCCCACGAATGTCTGGCTCCTGCCCCTTTGTATGTTTTTCCAGCATTTGTCATTGAATTATTTTTATCCACCTCTGGCTTTTTCACACATGCATCCTGGGCATTTGTCTGTTCCTCGATATGAAAGATGGGAGAATTTGCAGAAAGAGCACAGCTGTGAGTTTGTTCCTACTTTTTTGTGATAGGACAAGACATTGTGGGCATGGGCTGCTCCACCTGGCCAGCTCCCATTGTCTAGAGAACATCTGTATGAACTTGAAATGCCACCGAGGAGTGGGAAA